>NT_187585.1:71333-296895 GCF_000001405.40 Homo sapiens | reverse complement strand
CTATTAGATACCACAAAAATTAAGTTCAGATGGATTAAAGAGTTAAATTTAAGACCTCAAACTATAAGAATGATAGAAGAAAACCTTAGGAAACATCATTTTGGACATTAGTCTTGGGAAGGAATTTATGACTAAGTCCTCAAAGGCGATTGCAACAAAAACAAAAATTGACAAGTGGGACCTAATTAGACTAAAGAGCTTCTGCACAGAAAAAGAAACTAGCAGCAGAGTAAACAGAAAACCTACAGAATGGGAAAAAGTATTTGCAAACTATCTGTCCGACCAAGGTCTAATATCCAGACTCCATAGGGAACTTAAACAATTCAACAAGCAACACACAAATAATCCCATTAAAAAGTGGGCAAAAGGCCAGGTGTGGTGGTTCACACCTGTAATCCTAGCACTTTGAGAGGCTGAGGTGGGTGGATCACGAGGTCAAGAGGTTGAGACCATCCTGACCAACATGGTGAAACCCCAGCTCTACTAAAAATGTAAAATTAACCAAGCATGGTGGTGTGTGCCTGCAGTCCCAGCTACTCAGGAGCTGAGGCGGGAGAATTGCTTGAACCCCAGAGGCGGAGGTTGCAGTGAGCCGAGATCACGCCACTGCACTCCAGCCTGGCGACAGAGCAAGACTCCAGCTCAAAAAAAAAAAGTGGGCAAAATACATGAACAAACATTTCTCAAAAGAAGACATACAAGCAGCCAACAAACATGAAGAAATGCTCAACATCTGATATGATTTGGCTGTGTCCCTACCCAAATCTCGTCTTGAATTGTACTCTCATAATTCCCACATGTTGTATGAAGGGACCCAGTGGGGAGATAATTTGAATCATGGAGGCAGTTTCCCCCGTACTGTTCTTGTGGTAGGAATAAGTCTCACAAGATCTGACAGTTTTAGCAGGGGTTTCTGCTTTAACACCTCATCATTTTCTCTTGCCGCCGCCATGTAAGAAGTGCCTTTTGGGAGTTTGCAGTGAGTGGAGATCGAGCCACTGCACTCCAGCCTGGGCAACAAGAGTGAAACTCCATCTCAAAAAAAAAAAAAAAAAAAAAAGTGCCTTTTGCTTCCCGCCATGATTCTGAGACCTCCCCAGCCATGTGGAACTGTGAGTTCAATTAAACCTCGTTTTCTTCCCAGTCTTGGGTATGTCTTTATCAGCAGCATGAAAATGGACTAATACAGAAATCGGTACCAGTAGAGTGGGGCATTGCTGAAAAGATACCCAAAAATGTGGAAGTGACTTTGGAACTGGGTAACAGGCAGAGACGGAAACAGTTTGGAGGGCTTAGAAGGAGACAGGAAAATGTGGGAAAGTTTGGAACCTCCTAGAGACTTGTTGAATGGCTTTGACCAAAAGCCCAAGAGCAATATGGACAATAAGGTCCAGGCTGAGGTGGTCTCAGATGAAGATAAGGAACTTGCTGGGAACTGGAGCAAAGGTGATTCTTGTTATATTTTAGCAGAGACCGGCAGCATTTTGCCCCTGTCCTAGAGATTTGTGGAACTTTGAATTTGACAGAGATGACTTAGGGTATCTGGCAGAAGAAATTTCTAAGCAGCAAAACATTCGAGAGGTGACTTGGGTACTGTTAAAGGCATTCAGTTTTATAAGGGAAGCAGAGCGTAAAAGTTTGGAAAATTTGCAGTCTGACAATATGATAGAATAGAAAAACCCATTTTCTGAGGAGAAATTCAAGCCAGCTGCAGAAATTTGCATGAGTAACGAGAGCGGAATGTTAATCCCCAAGACAATGGGGTATGTCTCCAGGGCATGTCAAAGGGCTTCGCCAGGCCTGGAGGCTTAGGAGAAAATGGTTTTGTGGGCTGGTCCCAGGGTCCCCGTGCTGTTTGCAGCATAGGGACTTGGTGCCTTTTTTCCCAGCTGCTCCAGTCGCGGCTGAAAGGGGCACTTCTTACATGGTGGCAGCAAGAGAAAATAAGGAAGATGCAAAAGTGGAAACCCCTGATAAAACCATCAGATCTCATGAGACTTATTCACTACCACGAGAACAGTATGGGGGAAAACACCCCCATGATTCAAATTATCTCCCACCGGGTCTCCCCCACAACACGTGGGAGTTATAGGAGGACAATTCAAGATGAGATCTGGGTGGGGACATACCCAAACCATATCATTCCACTCCTGACACCTCCAAATCTCAAGTCCTCACATTTCAAAACTAATCATACCTTCCCTGGAGTCTCCCAAAGTCTTAGCTCATTTCAGCATTAACCCAAAAGTCCACAGTCCAAAGTCTCATCTGAGACAAGGCAAGTCCCTTCCGCCTATGAGCCTGTAAAATCAAAAGCAAGCTCGTTACTTCCTAGATACAATGGGGGTACAGGTATTGGGTAAATACAGCTGTTTCAAATGGGAGAGATTGGCCAAAACAAAGGGGTTACAGGGCCCATGCAAGTCCAAAATCCAGAGGGGGAGTCAAATTTTAAAGTTCCAAAACGATCTCTTTTGACTCCAGGTCTCACATCCAGGCCACGCAGATGCAAGAGGTGGGTTCCCATGGTCTTGGGCAGCTCTGACCCTGTGGCTTTTCAGGGTACAACCTCCCTCCTGGCTGCTTTCACAGCAGCTGGCGTTGAGTGTCTCCACTCACTGCAGCCTTGACCGCTGGGCTTAAGCGATCCTCCTGCCTCAGCCTCCCAAGCAGATGTCCACGACAGAGAAAGGGCTGTAAACAGCTGTGAGTTCCCACAGCGGCACACTGCACAGCTGTGAGAGAGGACTGGGGGTCCCTGCACAACATGAGGGGTCCCACAGAGGGGAGGGCATGCCACAGGATGGTATGCAGAGCATGGTCCTCTTGATGTCGGCTCATGGACATGTGCTGTTATACACGTCTGGTCCAGGGACGTTCAAGAGGGTGGTGTAATTATAGACAGAAGACGAAGGCTGACCTGGGACGCGAGCTGTGCGCCATGATGTTCCTGGTATCAAGCCGGGAGAGACTGGAGCTACTTGAGCCAGGGAGGTCCTCGGGGCAATTGGGGGGTTCCAGGCTGGGCACTAACGAAGCCCACCCCCGCCCCGTGTTCTCCCAGATGTTCAGCAATGGGTTGACAAGTTTTTCAAATGTAAGTAGGATTTCTTGGTTATGAATTAAAAGCATTTTCATTCCTTCGCAGAAGTCATGGTCCCAGTTAATAGAAATTCATTTCATGTCTCTTCTTTTTGCTTTCAGAAGAGGCAAATGAGCCTGGCAGCCCTGTCAGGACCATGCTGGCGTTTGGGCACATCCTCCTGGAAATGCCTGACGGTGTCTCAGGGCCCTGGCACAGAGCTGGGCATTTAGACCTTTGCATGAGCAGCAGCAAAGTCCCCAAAACTTCCAGGAGTGGGTGTGGGGCAGCCCCAGGCCTTCCTGCCTGCACTCCCAGTTTTAGCCTGCGTCATGGTGTCTGCATTCACCTTATTGCAGCCCCAGGTGTCTGTGCTGGAAGACTGAAATTCTGGTTGTTTAAACGGCTGAGTGGAAACTGAGGCACAGAGAGGAAAAGGACTTCACACAAGCGTCCCCAAGCTGCAGTAACAAATGACAACAAACTGGGGTGTTCAAACAATCGGGATTTACACACCCACCATGCACCCACACAATTAAACATTAAAAACAGAAACAATACAAATTCACACATCTACCATGTAGATTCCCACACAATTAAACACTAAAACTAAAAACAGAAACAATCGGGATTTACATACCCACCATGCACCCACACAATTAAACATTAAAAACAGAAACAATACAAATTCACACATCTACCATGTAGATTCCCACACAATTAAACACTAAAACTAAAAACAGAAACAATCGGGATTTACACACCCACCAAGCGCCCACAACAATTAAACATTAAAAATAAAAGCAGGCTGGGCGCGTTGGCTCACGCCTCCAATCCCAGCACTTTGGGAGGCTGAGGCAGGCAGATCACCTGATGTGAGGGGTTCGAGACCAGCCTGGCCAACATGGTGAAACCCCGTCTCTACTACAAATATAAAAATTATTACGTGGCTGGGTGTGGTGGTGCACGTCTGTAGTCCCAGCTACTCGGGAGGCTGAGGCAGGAGGATCACTTATACCCAGGAGGCAGAGGTCGCAGTGAGCTGAGATTGCACCACTGCACTCCAGCCTGGGTGAGGGAGCGAGACTCTGTCTCAAAAATAATAATAATAATTTTTAAAAACAAATAGGAATTTACATGCCTACCATATACCCACAACAGTTAAACATTAAAAACAAAAACAGAAACAATAGGGATTGATTCTTTCACAGCTCCAGAGGGCCAGAAGTTCCAAACCAAGGCGTCCGCAGGGTGGGTTCCTTCAGAGGCTCTCCAGGAGGTCCTTCCTTGCCTCTCTCCTGGCTTCTGGTGGCCACCGGCCATCCTTGGCTTGTGCTACATCACTCCAATTGCTTCCCCCTTCACACCTATCTCTGTATCTCTGAATCTCTCTCTCATAAAGACACTAGGCATTGGATTAGGACCCATTCTAATCCAGGATGACCTCATTTTAACTTGATTATATCTGCAAGGACGCCTTTTTCAAATAAAGCCAGCCAGGTCCAGTGGCTCACGCCTGTAATCCTCTCACTTTGGGAGGCCAGGGCGGGAGGATCACTTGAGCCCTGGAGTTCAAGACCAGCCTGGGCAACATAATGAAACCCCATCTCTACAAAAAATATAAAAAATTAGCCACGTATGGTGGTGCACATCTGTGGTCCCAGCTACTCAGGAGGCTGAGGTGGGAGGATCACTTGAGCCCACGAGGTTGAGGCAGCAGTGAGCTGTGATTGCACCACTGCACTCCAGCCAGGGTGACAGAGCGAGACCCTGCTTTAAAAAAAAATAAAATAATAAATGAATAAAAATCAAGTCACAGTCGCAGGTACCAGGGGTTAGAACATGGGCATAATCATTTTGGGGGGACCACAGCTCAACCCACAACAGGCTTGTCTTGGGACCCCCCCGGGAGTTGGCAGCAGAGCTGGGAGCTCACCTGAGTGTATTCGTCTCTAACGCTGCGCTACCCTGGCTTGCAGGCCATGTGACATTTCTTTCCCTAAAAGTGGTTTGGGTAGGGCCTGAGCTGCTGGCTGTGCCAGCAAAGAAATCACTCTGCTTTAGTCACCTCAAAGCAGTGGGCCCAGCGACACCCTGCTGCCCATGGACACTGAGGGGGACTGTCCATCCTCTGGCATGGAAAGAGCAGCGTTCTTGGAGAACTTGGCCTTGGCCCTTAGGAGACTCAAGGGAGAGCCCCTGCACGGTGGCCACTGGTGGCCGAGGAAAGTCCAGCTGCCCGGGGAAGGTGCTGTTCACTCACCTGCTGCCCATGGCCCAGGGCCAGACCAAGGCATCAGCCCCTCAGCCATCCAGAACAGGCCAGTGAAGCTTCCAGGATGGGTCTGCACTTGCGGAATATTTAGTAGGCAGGGTTCTGTGTGATGTCCTTACCCTACGTGCTCTTGTGAAATCCTCATTATCAGTTTGCTGGGGCTGCCAGGCTTGGGGGCTTCAACAAGGATTTATTGTCTCACAGTTCTGGAGGCTGGAAGTCTCAGGTCAGGGCATCAGCAGGGTGGGCTCCTTCTGGGGCTGTGAGGGAGAATCTGTCCCAGGCTGTCCCCTGACTTCTGGTGATTTGCTGACAATGTTTGGTGCCCTTTGGCTTGTGAAGCATCGCCCCAGTTTCTGCCTTTATCTTAACATGGCACCCTCCCTGCTTGTCAGTGTCCAAATTTCCTCCACTTAAACATTTTAATTAATTGGCTGGGCATGGTGGCTCACGCGTGTAATCCCAGCACTTTGGGAGGCCGAGGCGGGCGGATCATCTGAGGTCGGGAATTCGAGACCAGCCTGGCCAACATGGAGAAACCCGTCTCTACTAAAAATACAAAATTAGCCGGGCATGGTGGCACATGCCTGTAATCCCACCTATTCGGGAGGCTGAGGCAGGAGAATCTCTTGAACCTGGGACACTGAGGTTGCGGTGAGCCAAGATGGCACCATTGCATTCTAGCCTGGGCAACAAGAGTGAAACTCCGTCTCAAAAAATTTTTTTAAATTAATTTATATATGTGTATTTATTTATTCATTTATTTATTTTAGAGACAGGGTCTCACTCTGCACCCAGGCTGGCATGCAGTGGCACAATCATAGCTCACTGCAACCTGAAACTCTGGGGCTCAAGCCATCCTCCCTCTTCAGCCTCCCAGAGAGGTGGGATTACAGGTATGAGCCACCATGCCCAGCTGAAATTTTCCCTTTTTACAAGGATATCAGTTATACTGGATTAACGTCCCCCCTAATGACCTCATCTTATGACTTTATCATCTGCAAAGACCCTATTTCCAAATAAGGTCACATTCACAGGTCCTGGTGGTTATAGGATTTCCACATCTTTTGGGAGAGACACAATGCAACCCATAACAACCTGTAACCCAATGTGCTGTCCCAAAGAACTACAACACCAGGGGGATGCTGAGGTTCAGAGAGTGTCCTTGCCCTGGTGGTAGGGCTGGGACGCAGCAGGACTGGGGAGGCGGGACCCACTGCTGCTAGACACTGCAGCACTCTTAGACACAGCTCGGCCACCTGAGCAGGTGATCATTTCCCAGTTCCGCTCTGCAGACCCTTTTTTTTTTTCCCAGTAGAGATGAAGTTTCACTATGTTGGCCAGGCTGGTTTTGCACTCCTGACCTCAAATGACCTGGCCGCCTTGGTCTCCCAAAGTGCTGGGATTACAGGCGTGAGCCACAGTGCCCGGCCCCACTTTGCAGATTTAAAAACAAGACATCTGGAAGCTCAGAGAAGTTAAACTCACCCCAGGTCTTACAGCCAAACTCTGGCTTGCCTGACCTGATGTCAGGAGGCTTTCTTAGTGCAAGAAAGGAAGGGCAGGGCAAGCCTTAGCCGAATGTTTATCTCTAAGAGGCTTCTGACTCTCCTGGGCGCCTCCGGTTCCTTCTCCCAGGAAGGCATGTGGCCGAGCTGGGCTTGGGTGACTCATGGTCCTAGAGTGATGAGTGAGAACAGGCACTGTGAGAGTCATGGTAAGACCTGGCCACATCTTCGTCCCCTAAGTCCCGGGACTTGGTCCCTCCTTTGGGATTAGTTGGGGTCTCACAAACCCTCCCACATCCTGCGCAAGTAACAGCACATGCTACACGATCTTTTCACAAATGTAAACAAACTCTCCCTTACCGTCTTTTTTTCCACCCCCCAGTAGAATTGAGAATTTATTTATTTATTATTCTTTTTTTTTTTTTTTTTTTTTATTTGAGACGGAGTCTCACTCTGTTGCCCAGTCTGGAGTGCAATGGCGCAATCTCGGCTCATTGCAACCTCTGCCTCCTGGGTTCAAGCAGTTCTCCTGCCTCAGCCTCCCAAGTAGCTGGGACTACAGGCAAGCGCCACCATGTCCAGCTAATTTTTGCATTTTTAGCAGAGACAGGGTTTCACCATGTTGGCCAGGCTGGTCTCGATCTCTTGCCCTCAGGTGATCCGCCCACCTCGGCCTCCCAAAGTGCTGGGATTACAGGTGTGAGCCACCGTGCCCGGCCTTAGAATTTATTATGAAATTAGACATGAGGTTCCAAAAAGTAACTAGAAGATTTTTTACTTTTTATTTTTTGAGAAAGGGTCTCACTCTGTCGCCTAGGCTGGAATGCAGTGGCACAGTCGTAGCTCACTGCAGCTTCAAACTCCTGGACTCAAATGATCCTCCTGCCTTGTCCTTTCAAGGTGCTGGGATTACAGGCATGAGCCACTAATCCTGGCTAATAATTTTTCTTGACATATTAAAATTCTGTTTCTTAAATAGCATTTCCTCTCATTTTGGATGGGTGCACGAACCTTGGGTGGGATATCCTTGGGAGGTGACATCATGCACACAGAATGCAGGAGCCCTAAGGGGGTTGGGGATGGCTCCAGAATGGGGTCTGAGAAGAGATGGAGAAGCCTGTTCACGCAACACTTCATAGTGGCTTGCTTTCCGCAGGGTCATTGGCAGGGCGGTCCCTAGGCCTGGAGCGCTCTTCCCGCCCATCCCCAGGCCCTGCTCCAGGTCGGCCTCCTGGGAACCATCCCGTCTCGCCAGCACACCCTGTCCCGAGGCCGCCTCTGACCTCCAGGCTGGGCCTGGTCCCCACGGCGCTTAGCGCAATCATGACTTAAACACCTATTACAGGACGCTCAGTCTTTAGTGCTTGTCTCCCCGCGGCTGGGCTGACTACTCCCAGCACGGCCACTGAACGCTTGGCCGCGCGATGCTCCGGAGCGCGGGTCGCCATTGGGTTGAACTACAGCTCCCAGCATGCTCCGGGCCGGCGACATCCGGAGCCCCTGGTAGTTGCCTAGCGACCGGGCGTGTCCCGGAAGACGGGCCCGGCGTGGGGCGCGACTTCCGGGGCGGCGGTTGCATCAGATTCTAGGAAGTGTCTGTAGCCGCAGCTGCGGGTCCGGGATTCCCAGCCATGGCAGATTCCTCCGGGCAGCAGGGTGAGCGGCGCGGCCGGGCCAGGCTGAGGGCGGCTGGGGGCCTGACTGGGCGCTGGGTGCTCGGCTCGAAGGGCAGCGAGTCCTTATGTCTGAGGGGCCCGGGTGCATGGGTTCTGAGGGGCAGCTGTGTCCGTGGTCTGAGGGGCGGCAGTGCCCGAGGTCTGAGGGGTGTCAGTGCGCGGGGTCTGAGGGACGGCACGTCCTTGGGTCCGAAGGGCGGGGGTGCTCGGGGTCTGAGGGGTGTCAGTGCCCGGGGTCTGAGGGACGGCGGGTCCTGAGGTTCGAGGGGTGGCACGTCCTACGATCCGAAGGACAACGGGTGCCCGGCTCCGAGGGACGGCCACTGGGACCCCTGGGACTCCTGCGTGAGGGTCTGCCAGACCCGTGGCTGGAGCACAGACCCCGCGGGGACCCGAGCCCGAGCGGGGCGCTGCCCAGACCACCCAGCCTCAGTTTCCTCACTTGGTTCCTGCCGAGGTCCCCTTGCATCCTCACCCCGGGAGGTGGCCCTACATCAAACAGCCTTTCCCCAGCCGGTGCCTGGGCGGGCCCTCGCTCCCTCTTGCCCCAGCTGGCCTTTAGAGGGGAGACAAAGGCCCAAGGGTTGTTTTGGTTTTCTGCCCAGACCTGGCAGCTTCCGGGAGGTGGGCGGAGGGCACCTGAGGTTGGTATTTAGGGAAATGGGGCAGAGGACGCCAGGGGTACGCGTACACACAGTAAAAGGGCTTGGGGCTTTACGAAGGCTTTCATCTCCAGTTCCGCAGGCAGTCCACTGCAAGCTGATTGTCAGAGCATTACTGCCCCATTTTATTGCCAACCCGGGAGGTTCCCCAGGGACACAGCTGTGTCAGCTCCCCCAGTCACTCATGTCACCAGCGGGTAGACCTTGAGAGACCAGTGGGTTCTTCTCTCACTGTCCCTCCAGCAAGATTTTAGGTGCTGGAAAGGCAAGAGACTGAATCAGAAAGCCCAGATTCCTAACAGTCTGGAGCAGCCTTTCCAAAGGAAACATTCTCAGTATCTAGTTTTTAATTCTTTTGGCTGGCAAAAATTAGATGCAAGTTCTTGTAAGACACCTCCAGCCCCCACCCTCAGTTTAGATCGTACCAAGATTTCCTTAGCATCTGGTGGTGCCCTTTGCCCCTGAGGGTTTATTGGGTTATAGATAGGTAGTTATGACAACCCGAGTAATCTGGCGGCATGGGGACACCCAGATGACAGGGCTACACTCTTGTGCCAAGTGGCAGGAGGTGGTCACCTTCCAGGCACGCCGCCTACCACCCTACCTGTGTGCCTGGATTCCAGCACCATCTCCACCCGTCCCAGAGCCAAGCGGCCCTCAGAAGTCACCCAGATTCCTGTAAAACAGCATCATAGTTAACAGCCCCAACTCTGGAACCACCCTGGAAGGGCCAGGGTCCCAACTCTGCCTCCCGCCCCACAGCAAACCATGCGTAATGGCTCCTACCTTGGAGCATGGAGTGTAAATGAATTAATAGATGGGAAGGACGTAGAACAGTGCCTGGCACTCAATTAAGTGCTGTGTCTGTGCTGAAAGTTAGGGCCTGTTTGTTTTCAAACTAAAAATGTGTTTTTGTTCATTTGTGAACGTAAATGACGTATTAGTAGTGTTTTGTATCTTGTTTTTAAAAATAGCTTTAGAATTTTAGGTTTTCAGAGCCTTGTAAGAATTGCCTTCTTTTTGGAGCTTGCCATATAGGTTGGGATTGCCCTCTCCGGGCTGTCAGGGCAGCAGGCAGATTGCCCAGTCCTCAGCCTGCGCACAGCATCTCCAGCCAGTGTTCTTCTGCCCCAGGGCATGGCCCACCTGCCTTTACTATCGCCTCCTCCCATCACACACACACTCTCAAAGATGAGAACAGGAAATAAAATCCAATCGTAGGCCAGGCGCAGTGGCTCACACCTGTAATCCCAGCACTTTGGGAGGCCGAGGCAGGCAGATCACGAGGTCAGGAGATCGAGACCATGGTGAAACCCTGTCTCTACTAAAAATAAAAAAAAAATTAGCCGGGCGCGGTGGCGGGCGCCTGACTACTCGGAGGCTGAGGCCGGAGAATGATGTGAACCCAGGAGGCGGAGCTTGCAGTGAGTCGAGATTGCGCCACTGCACTCCAGCCTGGGCGACAGAGCGAGACTCCGTCTCAAAAAAAAAAAAATCCAATCGTAAATGCTTTCAGTGACCATCTTCCCAGATTTTTCAAGGAGGCCATCATTTTTGTACCATCTTCCCTAAGTTGACTCAGAAGGTCTATTTCTCTTTCCTGATTTCACTGGGTGTACAGCTTTTCCTTTGCAGTCTTGAAGGTGCATAGGCTTGGTGCCTGTCCAAGAGCTTGATTATTTCAGAAGGATGAGTTTCATTTCTGAGGTTTCTGGGGTAGATGGAGCCTACCTCAGGGCCTTTCCGCACAGACTTGGGATACCACTTGGTCGGCTGCTCATCAGGTCAGACTTATAGTTTAATTTTTATACAGTTTAATTCAAGGGTCTTCATAATAACACAGCCAGCATTTTTTCAGCATGAGTCTGTGCCGGGCACTGCTCTAAATGCTTTTCATCTGTTATCTCCTGCCACCCTTGGGGGAACCCCTTTGAGGAAGATCCTGCCGGCATCTTGTACAGATGAGAATCCTGAGGTTCAGAGAAGTCAAGCAATCTGTCCACCATCACGACTAGCCAGAGGCACAGCCAGGCTCCCAACCTGGGCAGCCTGACTCAATAGGGACCTTAACTGCTGTGCTGTGCTGCCTTTGATGATTCTCTTCAGACTCACAATAGCTCAACCCAGTGAGTTAAGGCAGACGAGAATAAAGCTGATGCCCTTCGATGTTTTCCCCAGAGCCACATGAAATGTTTGCTCCTCTATGAACTCAGGTACCATGTTTCCGGGTATTTGAAGAGCCTTAGGCAGTACCCTTGGGGTGGAGATTAAGCCATTTCCAGTGTGGGTGCTCTGGGTGGCAATATTGCTGTCTGATCACCCCACAGGCTCATTGTGAGGGATGTTGGATGCCCCTAATAATGAATAACCTCCCTCCCAGTAAGGAGGAAGATGGAGATGCTGTTCTTGGGGGTGAGAGAGGATGCCTGGGGGCCACCTTTGTGAACGAGTTGCAGCTGGACCTCCGGGGCTGGTGATCAGGACGGGGAGTGGGAGGGGAAGCCCTCACCTGTGGGAGGAGGCGCTGGTCTCTGGGAGTGGGTAGTGTTGGCTCCTAGTTGGTGAGAGCAGGGGTGCATGCCCCTCTCTCCTCCCCACGATTCATGTCTGGGGGCTTTTTCCGGTCCCTTTCTGAACACTTCTTGGGCAGGGAGTGGATCACTGGGAAGGACCCAAGAGGAGCAGCTGTAGAGGGTGGGACCAGGGGAACATTTGCAGAAAGGGAGTAACCTGCAGGGTGAGATGTTGCCTGGACACCCACAAGATGAGGACCCTGGTGGGACCTTTGAAGTAGCAGGGTCAGAGGGCAAAGGGTCAGGGTGAGTGAGGGGTGCAGACCCCCACCAAACCGGGGCACTTATTAGGAGCTCAGACCTGCTGTAAAGGGGTCTGCATTTTAGCAAGCTTTCCACCCATGGGGAAGCTGGTTTAAACCTCACTTGCTGGGCCCACCCCAGAGATTCTGATTTGGCAGGTCTCTGGTGAGCCCAAGAATGTGACTTCTCTGGATCCCCCAGGTTCTGCTGCTGAAGGCACACCAGGGCCATGCCTGGAGTGGACCTGGGAGAGCCTCAAGGGAACGCAGGAAGAGAAACAGGGCAGCCGGGAGAGGTTTAAATGCTTACAGGAGGCCAGGCATGGTGGCTCACGTCTGTAATCCCAGCACTTTGGGAGGCCGAGGTGGGTGGATCACCTGAGGTCAGGAGTTCTAGACCAGCCTGGCCAATATGTAGAAACCCCGTCTCTACTAAAAATACAAAAATTAGCTGGGCATGGTGGCGGGCACCTGTAATCCCAGCTACTCGGGAGGCTGAGGCAGGAGAATCGCTTGAACCCGGGAGGCAGAGTTTGCAGTGAGCCGAGATCATGCCACTGCACTCCAGCCTGGGTGACGAGCGAGACTCCGTCTCAAAAAATAAAATAAAATAAAATAAAATAAAAATAAATAAAAAATAAATGCTGATAGGAAAGAGCCAGAGAGAGGGAGAGGTCGCACTGCCACAGTTGTTTGACGTGTCAGGGTTGTTGTTCATTTGGTGTGGCTTTGTTTTGGTATCTGTGCTGAGCAATTGCTTGGTACTTGCATGTGATTTCAATAAATGTTCTGTAGAGACTCCACCTTTGTAGCCGGTGACAACCACCATCCACCTTTGGGACATTCCCATGTCCCTCAATGTGTTGATGAACTGAACTGCAAGGTCATCCGGTGGTGGACATTCCTTCTCATGGGGGCAGAGCAGGAGTTTCGGCACGGAGCGTGCAGGCTCTACGATGAGGGCCAGTGTCGAGGAACAGGTCCCTGGGAGGTTTTCAGTCTGCTCAGAAGTGTTCTCATCTGATCTCAGCATCAGACTGATCCACAGCCTGGCTCAAACCCATGACCACTTGAAAGCTGACCTATTTTTATTTGTTTCCTCGAGACACACTTAAATGCAGCTACCACGATTACCCAAATGACTGTCTGCGTCCATCTCATGGAAGCCTGTCATTCTCCTGTGCTTCCCTGGGCACCAGCACCTTTCTGCTCTGAGAAGATCCTTCCCAAGCATGGACTTGGTTCCCTTTTGATGAGCCGTCTAGCCTGCTCTAGACGGTACATTTAAGAATTATGTGATCCAAGATCAAGGCAGATTTGGTAATAAACTTTTAAAATAATAAAATTAATTAAATAAAAATGGGTGTGTGAGCCCTAGGAAAACTCCAGGAAATTCTCTGTGTGTAGCATGCGGCTATTACAATAACATTAATAATACCAGAGCGATTATGATAATAATGATGGCAAATGGGGCCCCTGGCTCTGTGCCAGGCAGCTTTTAAACATTTTACAAGTGTCATTTGACTTAATGGCCTGCAGCTTTACAGGGCTGATGTTATGAGCGTGTTTTACCGTGAGGAAATGCCGCCGTGTGTGTGAGTGTAGGTACTCAGCCCTGGAGGGCGTCGGGGCCGCCCCTCAGGTCTCCAGAGAGCGGATACACAGCGGCTTCAGTTCCCAGACTGCTTCCTCAGCACTCAAAAGCCACTGCAGCCGCCGTTAGGACATTTGATGTTTTTCTCATTTTAAAAATAGCAGATGCTTACTGCAGAAAATGTGAGCAATGAAGAAAAAGAGGGAATTAAAATCACCTGTCACCCCCTCTCATCAACCATCGTCACTGTCAGTGTTCGGGCTGTTGCTGGTGGTCTCTCCATCAGAATCCATTCTGAGTGTGAGAGGCACGTGACTGTCAGCTCGCTGTCTCAGCTGGAAGCCGATGCTGTGTCACTGTTTCTCAGGGTGCTGCTGTTGTCTCTTCTTCCCTCTTGCTGTCGTGGAGTCCAACCCAGGCATGAGCAGTTGCAGAAGACCAAGGCTCAGGGAGGGGACAGGGGAGAGGAATGTGGAGGGTCAGCATTGGGGAACAGCTTTCGAACTGTGGCCTGATCTGTGAGGGGACAAGGCTCACCTTCCAGCTCTGTCCATCCCTCTGGCAAGTTCTCTAATCTTTAGTGAACTTCATTTTCTTTATCATGAAATGGGACCCCTGCTGGCAGCTGCAGAGCTGTTGGAGGGAAATATCCAGCTAAACTAGAAGTCTCCTGGCTGGAAGTTGCTCTGCAAAAGAGTTTGTAGGAGTCTGATATTTATTTAGAGTTAGTTTTCCAGGACCTCGCTTTGGGGTGCTTGGAGCTGCCTCTGTGGGTCTGCCTCCGCCTCCGTCCTCCCTGATCTCATCTCCAGTTGGGAGGAGAGCGCATCTCCATGTAAGCAGCCTCCTCCTTCTCAGAGGGAAGCCCCGGCAGTGTCAGTGCTGACACTGGGCCTGTAACTGTAGGGATGGGGCAGGTGAGAGGCCCTCAAGAGCTCCCGGCACCCCCCAGGCGCCTTCAGTGGGGCCAGAGTCCACCCCTGTCTTTCTCTTTCCTTGGACTGTTGGAAGAGCTGAAGTGAAAAGTGACTTGTTCTTGTGTCTCTGGTATCTTTGGGCAGCAGGGCTCCTGCTAAGCAAGCCCCTGGGGGCTCAAAGCAGCAGAGGCTGTGGCCGGTTCCCAGCACTGGTCTTTGTGCAGGTGTCTTTCTGAGAAGGGTGCATGAGGCCCAGTGCCACAGGGGAACGCCAGCCCACCACTGGTGGCATGCACTCTGTGGTGCCATTCTGCTGTCCACTCATCTGTGCCCTAGGCAACTTTAGCTGATATCTGGAATGTCACACGCTCAGTTGTAGATGCTGAAGATCGAGCAGTGAATAAGGTAGATGGAGCGGTGGGGCAGATGGTGAAGGAAAGAAATGCGGGCACGTGTTAGACAGGGGTGCTGCGGAGAGAAAGAGCAGCCAGGCTCAGGGTCTAGAGGCGGGCGCCATATGGACAGGGAGTCCTTGAAGACCTGGTGGGGAAGCCGGCACGTAGCAGAGCTGTGAAGGATTAAGGGGCCTGCTGGTATCTGGGGAGCATGCCCCCTAAAAAAAGAGCAGCAGGTGGAGGGGCCATGTGACTAGGGTATTGTGAGTCAGGTGGGGGCCCATGGCCAGCATGAGGACAGGCTTGTGCTGCTGGCGAGGTGGGTGTTGGGGGCAGTAATGTGAACGTGCGCTTTTCAGCAGGGCCGCTGGAGGCCTGTGGCTGTGAGGGGAGAGCCATGCTGGCTACAGGTGGCGGTGTCTGGCTTGCAGGAATCCAGGTGACAAGGGCTGGCTCTCAAGTCCAAAGCTTCTTTTGAGTTAGAGGCCCCGGATCCTCCCGTGGGTTGGCTATGGGTGCTCCTAAGGATAACTTGTAAAGGGGTGTGATTCCAGTTTTGGCTAGGGAGTGTGCCCAGAGCTTTGCTTCTGGGTGCCTGTGGCTGCTTGGAGTGGGTGGCCATCTTATTGGGGTCAGATGGGACAGTGGCTCCGTGCAGTGGGAAGGAAGCAGGGCAAGTTAGAGGGACGCTGCACTCGTCATCCCACCAGCGAGAGTCATCCCAAGGAAGCCATTTTAAGCCCTGCATCCATGTTGAGACTTCAGGAAGGCTTTCCCACAGAGTGCCCACCCCTTTACTGCAGAGAAGAGGTGGCTTTCAGGACATCTTCTCCGGCAGCCACGGAGGCTGGGCCTTGGGGCATCACGTGGCTCCGTAGGCTCCCCTGGCGGGTGAAGAGCTCGGCCCAGTGGGGCATTCTTGCTGCTGCAGCTGTGCACTCCATTCTGACTCATCTTTGCTGACACCACAGCGTTCCGGGAAGTGCCAGTTATTGGCCTGACACGAAGGGCTTTCCCCACACTAAGCAAAGCAGAGAAAGGCATTCGTGTGCAGTTACCCCCGCAACACACTCTGCTCTCTGTTTTCAGAAGCTGTGTGGGTTTGGTTGGGGTGACTCTGGCTCTGTGCCAGGAGTAAACACGGAGATGGGGGACAAAAGGGAATGGGAGAAGGCAGAGAGGGGGACTGTGATGTGCAGGGCATCCACGCCCCATGGCTGTGATGTCGGGCAGCCTGTGCCCAGGAAGGGCAGCTGGCACAGCAAGGGGTGGCCAGACATGTGCATTCCTACCCTGAGTGAACTCTGGGGTGAGAGGGTATCTGTCTGGAAGGAGCAAGCATCGGTCCTTTTCCCACAGTCCTCTCAGCAAACACAATCACTGGTTCAAGGTTTGGATGCACCTGTGCTCATGGGCTCAGGGACCAGACTCCCTCCTCTGGCCAGAAGCCTGGCACCATCTGCCTGGTCTGCCCCCACTTTAGGGACGTGGGCTGTGGACACAGCACCTGGTCCACAACTCCCGTGTCAGAGGTAATTGCAGGGAGATATTCCTTAGAATGGTGAGACAGATTTTATTCCTTAATTCCTGACAGTAGGGGAAGGAGCTGTGTTCCCTGCCAGTTCAGCAGAGGTGACTTTTGGATTTAAAGGGAGTATGATTAGCTGGGCCTGGTGGCATGTGCCTGTAGTCCCAGCTACTCAGGAGGCTTAGGCTGGAGGGTCACTTGAGCCCAGCATTTTGAGGCTGTGATGAGCCTTGATTGCACCACTGCACTCCAGCCTGGGCAGTAGAGTCAGACGCTGTCTCTAAAAAATAAAAATAAATAAATAAATAAATAAATAAAAATAAAAAAGGGAGAATGGAGGAGGAGAAGGAGGGTGAGCAGGGGCTCAAATGAAAAAAGCCATGGAGCTGGTCAGCGTGCATGTGTCAAGGCGGCCTTGTCTACAGCTGGCAGTGGTGAAAGTTAGGGTTCTGCTCCTCCTCCCAATGGTGACATGCGGAACAGTGGCTCTTGGGTCCTTGAGTGACACACCTGAGTGGTGGAGGTGCACGCTTACTGCTTTGAAGGCTCTAAGGAGGGAGGCTGGGGCCTGGGGCCAGGGGCCAGGGGCCAGGTGAGGCTGGCTGGAGCAGCCACATTTTCCTGGCAGCCCTGTGCTTTCTTGGGCTGGTCCTTTGAGGGGGCCCAGTCCTCCTGAGGCTGTGGCCTTGACCTGCAGAAGTCATGCTAGAGTCCAGCTGTCTCTTGGTGCAGGGGTGTAAATGGCACACATTGTCAATGTGGGGTTCTCCTACCCCTCATCCCCCAGCACCCAGAGGGAGAGGGTGCCGCTGCGGCAAAGAGGCTTGAAGTTGGTTTGGTTTGGGGGATTTCTGTTGTGAGTTTTTAAAAATTGAGGTTAAATTCTCGTAACATACTTAGCTGACAGGAGGGATACCATGATCATGTAGGTAGCTTTCCCAAGGCGAGGCTTATCCGTTATACTCCAGATGTGCTGACCCCTATGATTTCCCCAAATGTCAGAAACTGAACTGTGTAATTTGTGATGGTGTGGAACTGTGTTCCTGCTTTCCCTGATAGAAAACATAAATTAAAAATGTAAAAACTAAGTAATTTATATGACATAAAGTGAAAAGTACACAATTCTGTGGTATTTGGCGCATGATGTTGTCATGCAGCCTTCATTTCTGTCTAGTTCCAAAGCATTTTCATCACCCAAGAGGGAACCCATCCATACCTGTCAGGCAGTCACTCCCTCGCCCCCAGTCGAAGCGCTGCCCCTGTGCCTTTGCCTGTTCTGGATGTTTGGCGTCCAGGGAAGGGCTTGAACACCTTTTTCCTTGGTTCTGTGCCATCCCCTAGTCCCTGTCTTTCTGGCGGCCTCTGGGCTGCCCGCCTGCCTGCCTGACACCATGTGCCCTCTGTCTTTGCAGCTCCTGACTACAGGTCCATTCTGAGCATTAGTGACGAGGCAGCCAGGGCACAAGCCCTGAACGAGCACCTCAGCACGCGTAGCTATGTCCAGGGGTACTCACTGTCCCAGGCAGACGTGGACGCGTTCAGGCAGCTCTCGGCCCCGCCCGCTGACCCCCAGCTCTTCCACGTGGCTCGGTGGTTCAGGCACATAGAAGCGCTCCTGGGTAGCCCCTGTGGCAAAGGCCAGCCCTGCAGGCTCCAAGCAAGTGAGTAACAGAGTGGGTTCCCTGGCCATTAGAACCTCTCTCCCAAGGTCAAGGGCTTTCTCCATCACCCTGGTGCTTACCTGGCGTCTGCGGATACCCCAGAGGGAGCCTCGCCCAAGTGTGTCTCGAGCAAGTGGCCTGGATGGGCAGATGCAGCGCTTGCTGGATGGAGGTTGGGATAAAATCACGCCCTATGGAGTTGGTTATTCAGGAGCAGTATGTTCACATCACTGGTGTGGCAGGATTGCCTGAGGTGGTGGGGTGCAGAGCCGCTGCGGCTCTGGGGTTCCACGTAGCATGCCCAGGCCACGGGCCCTAGCCTTGTGATTTTTAGCTAAGGCTGTGCCTGGCTCTGGTTGACTCAGTTCTTTCTCTTTATTTCTTCCATAAGATTGTAGCGTGTCTATCCTCCAGCTTTAGAATTGTTGAATCCTAAAGTATTAATTGGCATTGAACTTTTTTTTTTTTTTTTTTTTGAGATGGAGTCTCGCTCTATCGCCCAGGCTGGAGTGCAGTGGTGCGATCTCCACTCACTGCAAGCTCCACCTCCCGGGTTCATGCCATTCTCCTGCCTCAGCCTCCCGAGTAGCTGGGACTGTAGGCGCCCACCACCATGCCTGGCTAATTTTTTGTATTTTTAGTAGAGACGGGGTTTCACCGTGTTAGCCAGGATGGTCTCGATCTCCCGACCTCGTGATCCACCCGCCTCGGCCTCCCAAAGTGCTGGGATTACAAGTGTGAACCACCGCGCCCGGCCGGCATTGAACTTTTTAAAAATCAGAAATAAGTCATTTTTTCTCTTTGAGATGATGTCTGTCCCGTAGCTCCAGCCTGTTGGTGCTGGTTGTGTCTGTGGAACGTGCCTGTGGTTATTTGCGGGAGATACTCCTGGGATGCCTGCATGGCTTTGTCACTCTGTGGCAAATCTGAAGGGGCTCCATGCCATCATCACTGAAGTATGCCTTTGGGTGGCCCAACTCCTCCTGTGGCTGTGGGCACTCCTCCACCTTCATGTGGGGGCAGGTTTAGTGCTGTTTTCTGGTGGTCCTGGCTGTAGCTGGCAGCCTTCTGGGGGCTTCTCCAGACTCCGTTGGGGCCTGGGATTGGGAACATGCCCCCCCGCCTCTGCCGTGGGTCAGGCCTCTGCTAGATCACTGTTTTAACCAGGCTGGAGGTGGGGATGTCACATCTCCTGTGGGTCGTGTTTTCTGGATAACTCTGCAGCAGACACTCCTTCCCCAGCGTAGGGCAGAGGCCGTTGCTGTGCAGGTCACGTCCTTCCCCATGTAGCCGTTCCTGCCTGAGCCTCCAGCGCGGTCACCCAAGTGACACCTGTGCTGTGAGGTGCCTTCTCTCCAATGGCTCGGGTGTCAGGTTGTTCCCCCTGCCATGTGCCATTCCAAGACACAGCCAGAGGGGGGCAGGATTAGGGAGGGTGAAGCGGGCCTGGTACGTCCAGCTCAGCAGTGGCCTGTCCAGGCTTCCCTCATAGGGACTTGTTGAAAGAGCGGCACAGACGCAAGCCTCCATCCACACTGTGAGAGGAAGGAAGGGTTTTGCTCTTGCAAACACTTTTTAACCTACAGAGAGGAAGCAGAGCCACGTTGCTGTGTAACAGAATGGACCATGGATAGCACTAATGGAGTTGCTGTGCCCTCCCCAGGTTCCAAATCCCCTCATCACCCAGGCTGCGCAAGAGGCTGCCAGGGTCTGCTTGTGCCAGGAATGATGGGCATTATGTCAGGCGACCCTCACTCAAGCTTGCTGTACACTGAGCAGGGGCTGAAGGGGGAGGTGGGAGCTGGAGTCTGGGACTGCTAGAGCATCCAGTGACCTCGAGTGGGTCCAAGGCGCCATGGAGTCCAGTGTAGTGTCCTCGCCCATGTCCCTGGGATGACAGTAGCTGTGGATCTCCCTCCATGTAGCTGTGACAATCAGAGCTGCTTCCCCCACTGAGTGGGAACGCCCTCTCTTTCCATGGCTCATACTCCCCAAGCATGCACCTTCCTTGCTGGCACAGTGGGCCATGTGCCCCTCCTCCTGCTCGCCCTTCCACCTCTGTTGGACATCCCAGCAGCATCAGATGTGCCTGTGTCTGGCCCTCAGTGTGCCCGCCTGTTACCAGCTCCTCCCATGTGCCTTCTGTGTCCTGTCTCCAAGATCCTCTCAGACATGGAAAGACTCTGCTTGGCCCGGCGCGGTGGCTCACTCCTGTAATCCCAGCACTTTGGGAGGCCAAGGCGGGCGGATCACGAGGTCAGGAGATTGAGACCATGCTCGCTAAGTCGGTGACAACCTGTCTCTACTAAAAATACAAAAAATTAGCCGGGCGTGATGGCGGGTGCCTATAGTCCCAGCTACTCGGGAGGCTGAGGCAGGAGAATGGCCTGAACCTGGGAGGTGGAGCTTGCAGTGAGCCGAGATCGTGCCACTGTACTCCAGCCTAGGTGACAGAGCGAGACTCCGTCTCGGGGTGGGGGGTTGGAGATAATGGAAAGGCTCTGCTTAACCCCCAGGTCCCTACTCCTGTGAAGCCAGACCCCTTCCTGGTGGATCCCTTCCCTGGATCACCAGCCTCCAGCACGGAGGTCCACTGGATATCAGGACGTTGAACTTGTTGAGCACTTCTCACCCGCAGTGGAGGCTCAGCCCTTCCAGCCCGCCGGCCTCTCCCTACCCCCCGGGAAGGAGTGTCAGCTATACCCTTCACTGAGGAGGGTGTGGGTCTGTCAGACGCCGAGGCCATAGTTTCAGGAACATGAAGGTTTGGTGTTGCTCTCACCCCTCCGATGGAGGACCCTTAACTTCCTGATGAAGGATTTCTCTCCATGAACCCCTTGCTTGGGTCCTATCTGCATCTGGTGTGTTGTAGGCAGACTGCTTGCCACTTCCTGGCTTCCCTCTCCATCATTTTATCTTCAGCCTCCCACATCCCTGTTTCAAAGCCATGTCTCTCATGAGCGGTTCATAGTTGGTCTGTTGTTGGATCACTCAGGTCAGGGTGGGACTCTGGAATCAACGAATGTGTGTTCATTTTTTCCAAAGAAACAAAAGCACAGGCCAGGCGCGGTGGCTCACACCTGTAATCCCAGCACTTTAGGAGGCCAAGGCAGGCAGATCACAAGGTCAGGAGTTTGAGACCAGCCTGGCCAATATGGTGAAACCCCATCCCTACTAAAGATACAAAAATTGGTGGGGCGTGGTGGCAGGTGCCTGTAGTCCTAGCTACTTGGGAGGCTGAGGCAGGATAATCGCTTGAACTCAGGAGGCGGAGGTTGCAGTGAGTTGAGATTGCGCCAGTGCACTTCAGCCAGATTTTATCTAAAAAAAAAAAAGGGGGGCAAGGGTCCTTATGTGATATCTCTCAGTTCTTCCCTTTTGCAAATCTGAATTTGTATATCTGGGCCTGGTAACCCGTTTTCCTGGGGAGCCCATCGCCAGCTGTGTGGAGATAGCAGCCTTAGGGGAGCAGGAATGCTGGCTGTGGCCAGGCTTCTTGGACAAGCTTTCAGTCCTGTGAACCCTGGGCCGTTTCCTCATAGCAGGGTGAGTGTGATGATCCCGTGGCCTCATGGCTGTGTTTCTGGGCAGCGTCTCCAGCTGTCTGAGATGGCAGCAGTGTCCTATTGAAGGAGCTCCAGGGTCTTTGTGAGGGAGGAGAGTGATGGGATCCTAGAGTGGCGGGTTGAATGCCTCCAGGCATTGAGTGAGATTCTCCTTCAAGGGCTTGTGAGGCATTTAAAGTACACTGAGGCCGAGCTGCACTTGGCCTCAATAAGCACATGATGTCTGATTAAGATTGGAGATTGCCTACGCTTTAGAATCTGACCACCTGTGACCACTGGAACTCACCTAGAGTGGGGGCTCCTGCTGAGCACTGGCCCTCTCTCCGTCTCCTGCCCCATCTCCCACCTGCCCACAGTACCCCCACTGCCCAGACACAGTGCAGCCGCCCTCCTTCCTCCCCTTGGCCTGTTAGTCATCAGCGTCTGCCGTCCTGGCTCGTGTGGCCTGAGCTAGAGCCGGGAGGCCAAGAGATGGCTGGTGCCCAGGACCAACTTCCCCGTGATCAGTGTGTGGCAATTTGCTGGCCATGCTGCCAGACCCTCTGGCACAGAAACCAGGGACAGGAGGAGGCAGGATGCGAGCACCCTGGTGAGCTGCCAGGCGGCCTGCTGGGGTGGGCACAGGTCAGTGCTAGGAGTATCCATCTCGTAGGCCTTCCTGGTGCCACTCAGCAGAGACATGTGAAGCCCTTCCCAGGGCCAGGCACCAGCTGGGGTCAGAGGTGCCCAGCAGAGCATAACGCAGAACCTGGACCTGTGGGCGACGACTGTGGAGAAAAGTGGGGATCTGCTGAGGGGGCAGGGCAGGCAGGAGCCGGCTGAGGGCAACGGGAAAGTCACCAGGTACCGTCCTCCACACCTAGCTTTGCCAGATTGACGTTTCAGAGGGTGAATAATCACCCTGTGGCTGCCCCTGGCCCCAGGGACAGAGCTCTGCCCCCTTCAGGGATCTCAGATGCAGGTTGTGTAAGGACAGCCTTGTGCCAGGTTGGAAGCCAGGCCTGGAAGCAGTGTGCTCAGAGCAGCCCAGGCGGCCCACAGGCGAGTGGAGGGGAACAACTAGGGAAGTCTGGCCAGGAGGAGGTGACTGCACTGAGGGGCTGGCTGGCAGGGGTCTCTGCCTGGAGGCTGAGAGGAGCTCAGGTTATTTATGAAGGCAGTATAGACCTATGTGGAGCTTGAAGCCCAGTGTCTGGATCAGAGTCTGCTGGGCTGTGGGCCCAGAGCTGGGAGCCAGCCACTCACTTCTGCAGTGTCCGAAGTGATGAGGAGGGGCTGGGCTGGAGCCAGTCTTGCCTGCTGGCCGTGGCCACAGGGGGTCCTTTCTGCTCTGACTCCTGGCTTCTGCTGCCAGGGCTTGGAGGCTTGGAGGTGGCCTCTGTCCCAACAAGAGTCCTCAAAATCCTCAGTTTGTCCAGGTGAGGGATCCTGGGTGGGGGAGGTTCCCAGGGCTGCGGCAGCACAGACCATACCTTGTCAGTGTCAAGCCCTGACTGACCCAGGAGTGCCAGGTGGTGGTGTGCTCACTGCCAGAAAGGGGCCAGTATTTGAAGAGCAGTGGAATGTGCTGGGCACGCTGTGCAGGCATTCCTCAGCCCTCCTGGGGCTCTAAGGGTGTTATTGGGGTATGCTGCCATACAGAATATTAGAAAGCAAAAGAAAGACGCGGTTGTCGGGAGGCAGAGCTTGCAGTGAGCCGAGATCACACCACTGCACTCTGGCCTGGGCGACAGAGCGAGACTCCGTCTAAAAAAAAAAAAAGACGCAGTTGTCTTTGACCTGCGTAATGTTGACCGAGATTCGTGTGGTTTCACATTGTTTAAATTTCATGGAAAACTATGGTCCCGTTGTAAAAACCAAGTCTCCAGGTGAAGAGGCGACTTGCACTTCCTGGTGCTGCCCCTGGACCCTGATCCTGCTCTCTCTGCCTCCCAGGCAAAGGCCGGCGTGTGCAGCCCCAGTGGTCCCCTCCTGCTGGGACCCAGCCATGCAGACTCCACCTTTACAACAGCCTCACCAGGAACAAGGTAAGGAGAACACAGATGCCGTGGCACACGCACACAATGGGGAGGCAGGAGGCAGGACAGCCCATGTGCCTTGTCGCACAACAGACTTCTCTGTTCCTTGTGTTGGGATCTGGAGTTCCATAAATCCAGGTTTAAGATCCTTCAGTCACTTCCATGTTATAGTCTCTGTGGCCCAGAGGCAGAGCTGTCCTCTGAAACCCAGACACGTGAAGTATCATGCCTCATGTGGAAGCCTGCCCATGACTTCTGGGCATGGATCACCCTGGCTTGTCTCTCGGACTCTGCCCAACCATGAGTACTGGAGGTCATCCACAGCCACGCCTTTCAGGAGGACGCGTGGTTGCAGCAGGTGGCACTGTATGAGCCAAGCAGGATGGACAAAACGGCAAACTGGCTGGATGTTGTTGGGAGCACAGCAGGTTTTGAGAAGAAGGCAGGATTGGTTCCTAACAGAATGGGGTTTGCATGGTTTGCTTGGCTCAGGGCATGGCCAGTGACTCCAGTGATTTCAGACCAGGCTCTGGGCGGGGCTGCTTGGATTTCCATCAGGGAGCATGTTTGGCAGACAGAGAGTCAGGTGTGAGGGAGTTCATGGCCTTCCTTGGGAAACTGGTTGAGGATGATGCCCCCAGAGAGGTCTGAGGGTGCTGGGATGTTGGGGAGTGGTGCCAGAGCAGCACCACGATTCAGGGGTCCTGGCCTCCAAGCCGCGCTCCCCCAACAGGGACTGACCCTGGCCAAGTGTTGTCTGCCTCAGTTTCTTCATCCGTAAAAAGAAAATGACATAACCTACGTCCTAGAGTGTACTGCATATTGAATATTTAGCTCAGGGCCTGGCACATGGTAGGTACTCAGTAAATATTAGCTGTGTTATTGTTAAATAAGCAGCATTTCAACAATCAATAAAATCATTGATTCCCTTTATCGTCTCCCTCCATAGATGAGTAGAACCCCAGGGAGGAAGAGGCCCCACCCACCCAGGGCTCAGTTGGTGGGAGGTGCCGTACATCTCACTGGGCTCCCACTGAGACTGTGACTTTTCACAGTAAAACAAAATGGTCTCTGTTGAATTGTTTACACTAAACACAAACCACACTGTGATGTTTGTTGCTGTTTTTGGTAATCCTGTGCAGTGTTTCTTGCATTTCTTGTGATCGTCATTCCTTCATTCCTAACAAAGGAAGTGTTCATACCTCAAGATGGGAAAAAGGTGACGTGGTATTGCTGTGGGCCAACCGTCTATGACGCATCTCACATGGGGCACGCCAGGTAGGTCCACCGCGGGGTGTCCCTGCAGCTTCTGCAGTTGCACGCAGAAGTCAGAGCCATTGGGATCCACAGCAGCGATCTTAGGTCCACAAAGATCTTAGATCTGCTACAGAGACCTGAGATTTGAGGAATCGAGACTGAATTTCTTCTCTTATTTTTAAGATGAAAATTTTAATTCCATAAGTAATCTATATTCACTGCAGAAAGACTACAGATCACCAAAAAGAAAATGTCCATAGCCCCACTGCTAACATGCTGGACTCGACCTGGGCACTTTTTCTCACATACCTTAAAGTTTTCTCTCATCCCTCAAGCTCTCGTGGGGTCCCCAGATGCTGAGTTCCCATGACACTCAGACCTGACAGGCCTGACGCTGGGTTGGCTGTGACCGCCCCCCGACCACTGGATGGTCATGGCTGTAGCTCCTGACGAGTAGCTGGCTGTTGGGGTAAATGCCACAGAGTCCTTTTATGTGTTCATGTTTTAGTTGCAGTGCCAAGGTCATGTATAGTCAACCCTTGAACAACCTGGAGGGTAGAGGGTGTGACCCTCTGCACAGTTGAAAATCCACACATAACTTTTGATTCCCCAAAAACTTCACCACTAAAATAGCCTCCTGTTGACCAATAGCATGCCAGTCAATGAACACATATTTTGTATATACATTACATACTGTATTCCTAATGATAAAGGAAGCCAGAGAAAAGAAAATATTATGAAGAAAATCATAAGGGAGAGGCAATATATTTACTATTCATTAGGTGGAAGTGGATCATTATAAAGGTCATCATCCTTGCCATCTTCACGTTGAGTAGACTGAGGAGGAGAAGGGGGGGTCTTGCTGTTTCAGGGATGGCAGAGAAAATCATATATAAATGCACTCATGCAGTTCAAACACGTGTTGTTGGAGGTTAAGCTATACATATCGTCTGGTGTGGAAATGTTTGTTTTTTCATTGCTTTAGGTCCTACATCTCTTTTGATATCTTGAGAAGAGTGTTGAAGGATTACTTCAAATTTGATGTCTTTTATTGCATGAACATTACGGATATTGATGACAAGGTAAAGGGAATTTGTAAGATTAAATTTTAAATGCAATTGGATGGTGTAAAAGAAGATAGAACTTTCGCATAAGTAAATAATGTAGGCTTGAGCTAGCTTGTGTTTTCACCTGATAAACATCATTTTAATCCCCTCAGTGAGTTAATATTACCACTTCTGCTACTGATATGATCATTTCTATGATGTTCAGACACGGTTAGAAACCTGCATGTTGCTCAGGGGTCGGTAGCCCTGGGTGTTTTGCAGAAGGAAGGCCTCCCACAGCACGCACTTCGACATGTGGCTTGCAGGGGAAGCTGGGGCCCCCAGGGCTCATTTCATTAAGCGTCAGAAAGATCACGTTAGGCCTTGGGCACTACTTGGCAGGTGGGAGATGGAGGGTGGTGTTTCTATTTGATGATGGTGTGCACGTCCGGGGCCCACAGTTGTCTCCCACCACCCTCACCCTCACTTAGAGTTGGCCAAGGGAGAGAGTGGCCTGCTGCAGAGGGATGCATGTGGGATCCAAGCATCACTCCCCAATGTCTGCCTTCCCTCCCCAGATCATCAAGAGGGCCCGGCAGAACCACCTGTTCGAGCAGTATCGGGAGAAGAGGCCTGAAGCGGCACAGCTCTTGGAGGATGTTCAGGCCGCCCTGAAGGTGGGCCTCTTGCTGTCTGCTCTAGAAACCGAGCCCTTTGCTTTCTGTTCTCGGTCCTTTGTAGGCTACTGTCCCTAGGGTAGTGTCAGTCTCACAGGCTTTCACAAAGTGTATGTTACTCAAGCCAGTTCCGTCAGGGGCGCTGAAGTCTCCATAGGTAAGGTCCCCTGGCCTGTGACAAAGTCACCAGCAAAGATGTACTGGAGTGGAGTGGAGAGTAGGTGACATTCCTGCCACTTACAGGAAAACAACTGAATTCATCACAGTGCCACTAATTACACTTATAAAAATGCTTACCAATATTGCTGTCTAATTTTCAATGCCAAGGTTACAACTAAATCAGAAACTTCTGCCCAAGATACAAAAGCTATACTAAGCTTTTTAATTTGGTAATACTGTAAATTTTCAGAATCTTTTGAAGAAATTAGTTCTCTCTAGTATTTTCATTCTGAATAACCATCGTTATATACTTATTTTTATTACAATAGTAAGAATAGGTCATTTTACTCTCTACTAATTATCCTTAGTAATTACAGTAATCATTATGGATATGCTTATGGCATTTTATCTCTGGAATTAAAAACAGGAATAAAATTAGAGCTGAGCAATCTTTTAGGTCAGTGAGGCCTGAGTACCTTCCTGATGGATGTGTCTGCAGCACACCTCAGAACACACTGGGTGGCCTACTTTTCCTCATCCCCAGAACAGCCCTAGAAATACTGCTCTCACACCCAATTTGCATTGGAGAAACTGAGGCACAGAGAGGTTAGGTGCCCTGTCCAGGGTCACACGTGAGAGGGCAGAACCAGGAGCTCCTGAGCCGGGAGCTTCAGTCTCTCTTAGTTCCTTACTGCCTGGCCACTTGGGTTGCACACTTCTCTATCTCTATGGGGCCATGGGAAAAACCGTTCTGTTTTCTACCTGGAATCACCTTTATGAATTTAGGTTTTGCTGAGCAGTATCTAATAGATTTGACGTCTCTTTATGGTTGCAGCCATTTTCAGTAAAATTAAATGAGACCACGGATCCCGATAAAAAGCAGATGCTCGAACGGATTCAGCACGCAGTGCAGCTTGCCACAGAGCCACTTGAGAAAGCTGTGCAGTCCAGACTCACGGGAGAGGAAGTCAACAGCTGTGTGGAGGTGAGGCTTCACACATCTCCCAGACAGCCCGTTCGGGTCAAATGTCGGGCCGTGCATAGACTGATCTGTGTGCACGGATTGATTCCACAGATTGTCTTAGTGGAAGACACTCTGTGTCTCCAGTAGCTCCACTGTGGCAGGCGGCCCTGTTCTGCGGTGGCTGAGTCAGTGCCCCTCCCCTCCCACACCCCTTTGCCCCATTTCCTGGGTGCAGAGCCTGTGCCACTGGAAGGAGACTCGGGATCCACACCCTCCCACCACTTCCATCAGATAGGCAGGAGGTGCACTTGGAACGTGGGGAGGCAGCCTTCTGTCGAAGTGTTCCAAGATTCTCCAGCGGACTCTCCCCACACCAGCTGGAGAAGGAGGAGCAGGGATTAACATTGAATTGAGCATTGAGGCCTGTGGGTACCTACTGAGCTTGGGGCCTTCACGTTGACCAGCTCTCCTGCCCCTGCCAATATCTCCTTCAGACACAGGGCAGAGACCTGGGTGCAGAGGGGACCCTGCCCTCTTCCTCAGGCCTTTCCCTGTGGCTGGCGCCCTGGACACAGTCAGGAAGGCCTTCTCCTTTGTGCCAGCGCCGCCTGCTGGTCACCCTTTAAGAACTCGATGGAAAAGAGAAGAGACGGCTGCAGCTGTGTGTAGAAAAAGAGGCCCCACTGAGGCCGCAGCCCTGCCTTCCCTCACCACTGCCCTGGCCCCACCTCAGTGATGGGGCAGGGAGTCTGTGTCTGCCCTTCGCCAGCATGTTTCTTTCTAGTTTGGTCTCTTCTGTGTCCTGACTCAGCAGATCGCTTCGTTGCGCCTGTTTCCAAACTTCACGGAAACACGCCACGTGTATGTAGTCGTCAGTGTGCTTTCACCCAAGCTGTGCTTCTGGGACGACCCACATGTGGTCACTGTCACTGCCTCAGTGCCTGCCTGGGAGCCGAGCTGTTTGTCTGTTCTCCTGGGACGGGCAGTTAGGTTTCCTTCTTACCAACAATGCTGCTGTAATTTTTTTCCCAGTTGTTCCACT
Source organism: Homo sapiens (assembly GCF_000001405.40). Taxonomy (NCBI): domain Eukaryota; kingdom Metazoa; phylum Chordata; class Mammalia; order Primates; family Hominidae; genus Homo; species Homo sapiens. The sequence goes on along the minus strand of NT_187585.1, from coordinate 268,053 downwards.
AATATTCTTTTTTTTTTTTTAATTGTGGTAAAACACACATCATAAGAAATTTACCATCTTAGCCATTTTTAAAAACTTTTTTTTTGTAGAGACAGGGTCTTTTTGTGTCTGGTTTATTTTGCCCAGCATAGTGTGCCCATGGTTGACCCATGCTGTAGTGCATGTCAGACTCTGCTTCCTTCCTATGGCTGAATGATACTCTGTTGTGTATAGATGGGCCACATTTTGCTCATCCTTTCACCTGCCCGTGGACACGTGGGTTGTTTCCACCTTTTGGAGATGCAAGTAATGCTGCTATAAACCTGGGTGTACAAATATCTGTTTGGGTTCCTGCTTTCACTTCTTTTGGGGATATACACGGAAGTGGAATTGCTGGGTCATGTGATGATTCTATTTTTGATATTCTGCGTAACCACCGTATTGTTTCTGCAGTGGCTGCACTATTACACATTCCCACCCATAGTGCATGGGGTTCTGTTTTCTCCACATCCTTGCCAAAGCTTGTTATTCTTCATTTTTTTCATCCCAGTAGGTGTGAGGTGGTATACTGTGGTTTTGGTTTGCATTTCCTTAATGGCTAGTGATGTGGAGTGTCTTTTGCTGAACTGTGAGTTGTTTTGTGTTGTCTCTAGGTGGACATTTGCAAGTTTCTTTAGGCCATATACCTGCAAGTGGAATCGCTGGGTTGTGTAGGATATATGTGAGTGACTGTCGGGGGTTCCCAACACTGCCCACACATTCTGGGGCCCTAGAAGGACTCATGAGACTCGGCATCGAGTTATCATCTTGTCTAAGGTTTGTAGCAGTGACACAGCGAGGAGCAAAAGCTCAGGCGGAGTCTTCAATCATCCATGGGCAGGCTGCTGAAGCTTCCTCCCTGCCTCCCATGAGGGGACACAGCACACTCTCCCCCACCAGGAAAAAAATGCAGCCACATGTGTGAAATGTCCCTCCCTAGGGGAAGCCCATCACATAGGCACCCTCTGCCTGGCACGTGCCGCAATTCCTGACTCCCCAGGAGGAAAGCTGGTGTTCCACCTGCATAAGCCACAGTGTTTGTTCAACAGCCCACTGGGGGCTGCTGCCACAGAGCTGGGTTTCCCGGCCTCTTAGCACAGGGGACATTTCAGCTCCTGGATGCCAGCTAATGGCCAGCTCTGTAGGCAGGCCTTTCTCAGGTGGCAGACACAGACCTTCTAGGCTCACTTTTATCTTCATAGTAGCCATATCAGAAATGTCTATATGGCCAGGCACAGTGGCTCACACTTGTAATCCCAGCACTTTGGGAAGCCAGGGCAAGAGGATCACTTGAGCCCAGGAGCTCCAGACCAGCCTAGGCAAAATAGTGAGACTCTATTTCTACAAAACTTTTAAAAATTAGCCAAGCATGGTGATGCAAGCCTGTGGTTCCAGCTACTGGGGAGGCTGAGGTGAGACAATCACCTGAGCCCAGGAGTTTGAGGCTGCAGTGAGCCATGAACACACCACTGCACTCCAGCCTGGGCAGCAGAGTGAGACCCAGACTCTTAAAAAAAAAGAAAGAAATGTCTATGCAAATTTCTTCTTCTTCTACCACATTTTGGGTGTGCTGTGTATTTGCACATACACCTGCATTTGTATTGTTGGATTCTTCCCTTTCATCAGTCAATGAATGTGAAGTGCTGATTGCTGTGGTTTGAATGTCCCTTTTTCCAACCTCTCCTGAGACTGAGCATCTTGTCAAGTGCTTGCTTCCAGCTGTGATTCTGTGCCCCCATCTCTCCCCCTTTCCCATGAGGTTATTGGTCCTTTTCTTACTGTTTTGTATCATTCTTATGTCTTCTGATACTAATTACTATGATTTGAATGTTTGTCCCCTCCAAAACTCATGTTGAAACTTAATCCCTAGTGTAACAGTATTAAGAGGTAAGGCCTTTTAGAGGTGATCGAGTCATGAGAGCTCTGCCCTCATGAATGGGTTAATGGATTAATGGGTTATCACAGAAGTGGGGTAGTTATCATGAGAGTGGGGCTGTTACAGAAGCCAGTTTGGCCCTCATGAGCCCCCTGGCCATGTGATGCTCTGCGCCACCTTGGGACTCTGGGAAAAGTCCCCACCAGCAAGAAGGCCCAGAACAGATGTGGCCCCTTGACCTTGAACTTTCCAGCCTACAGAATTGTAAGAAATAAATTTTATTTAAAAATTACCCATTCCCAGGCAGGGCATCGTGGCTCATGCCTGTAATCCCAGCACTTTGGGAGGCTGAGGTGGGCAGATCACGAGGTCAGGAGATCGAGACCATCTTGGCCAACATGGTGAAACCCCGTCTTTACTAAAAATAAAATAAAAAAAATTAGCTGGGTGTTGTGGCGTGTGCCTGTAATCCCAGCTACTTGGGAGGCTGAGGTGGGAGAATCCCTTGAACCAGGGAGTCAGAGGTTGCAGTGAGCCGAGATCGTGCTGTTGCACTGCAGCCTGGCGACGAAGCAAGACTCCGTCTCAAAAAGAAAAAAAATTTTACCCATTCCCGGCCAGGCGCAGTGGGTCACGCCTGTAATCCTAGCACTTTGGGAGGCTGAGGCGGGCGGATCACCTGAGGTCAGGGGTTTGAGACCAGCCTGGCCAACATGGCAAAACCCCGTTGCTACTAAAAATACAAAAATTAGCCAAATGTGGTGGCGCGCGTCTGTAATCCCAGCTACTCTGGAGGCTGAGGCAGGAGAATAGCTTGAAACCAGGAGGCGGAGGTTGCAGTGAGCCGAGATCACGCCACTGCATTCCAGCCTGGGAAACAGAGTGAGACTGTCTCAAAAAAAACAAAACAAAACAAAACAAAAAACAGAAAACAAAAAAAAGAACAAACAAAAAAACAGAAAACAGACTAAGACACGAATTCATCTCTGTTACATGTTGGCATGTGTTTGTGTCTCTTAATTCTGTTCTGTTGGTCAAATTGTCCAGCCCAGACCAGGTGCAGTGGCTCGTTCCTGTAATCATAGCACCTTGGGAGGCCAAGGCAAGAGGATCCCTTGAGCCCAGGAGTTTGAGATCAGCCGGGACAACATAGTGAGACTCTATCTCTACAAAAAGTTTAAGAATTTAAAATTTAAAAAATTTATAAAAATTGCCCAGTCCTGCAGGAGTATCATGCTGTCTCTCACAGGTATCTGATGGGTAAGAGGCCCCATCTTGGTTTTGTCGTTAGGTGTGTTTTGAAGCCTCAGCTTGTCAAGTTCCATGTAAGACACTGTTGGGATTTTACATGTTGTATCTAAGAACCATCTCAGATCCAGTTTGGCTGTGTTGATCCTCTGTAGTCTTTTTGTTTTATCAGTTTTTGTCCATTCTTTATTCCCTTCTTCTCTTCTTTTTCCTTTGGATTTATTCTGTTTTTCTTGGTCTCACTTAGCAGTTTAGCTTATTTTCTGATTTAAGAATTTAAGGCTATACATTTTCCTCTGACTGTTTTTGCTGCAAAATTTGACATCATTTACTTGTAAACAATTTCTAATTTCCATTTTGGATTTTTTAGCCCAGGAATTATCTAGAAGTAATTACCTAAAAGTTAATTATCTAGAATTACTTAGAAGTTTTAAATTTCCAAATTTAAATTGGATGGTACTTTTTCATATTAACTTATTGTTATTCGCTTATAACTTAATTACCCAGTGGTTGGAGAGTATGGTCTGTCCCAATCTGGATCTGTGAACAGAGACTTGTGTTGTGGCCCCTGTGTGTGCTGGTTTCTGAATGTTCTCTTGTGCTTGAGAAGATTCCGTCTAATCCCCTAGTGCACAGTTCCACATGCCATCCACTTAGCTATACCTGTTGGCCGTGTGGTTAATATTTTGTGTGTCTTTGCTAATTCTTCCTGTTGGCTTAGCCTATTCATACAGTTTCTTAAAAAAACAAAAACAAGAACCAAAACAAAACTCCCCCTCTGATGATGAATTTGTCTGTTTCTCCTTATTTTTTCACTTTTTAGAAAAAAAAAAAGTTCTTTTTTTAGAGGAGATTCTGGTTCACATCAGAATTGAGAGGCTATATATATCCCCTACCCACCTCACCGTCACCTCCCCCAGCATCCGCACCCACCAGGGGGTACGTTTCTTACAGTCAGCGAACCTGCTCTGAGCGTCATTACCCTGAGTCCGTGGTTTACTTTAGGGTTCACTCTCAGGATTGTTACATCCTATGGGTTTGGACAAATACTATCTCGTATCCACCATTACGGTATCACACAGAATAGTTTCACTGCCCTGAACATCCTCTGTGCTCCAGCTATTATCCCTTCCTCCCCACCCCAACTCCTGACAGCAGCTAGTCTTTCTACTGTCTCCGTAGTTTTGCCTTTCCCAGAATGTCACATACTTGGAATCCTACAGTGTTGCAGCCATTTCAGATCAGAAAAAATTTTTAAACAGAATACTTCACCTCTGATCACCAAAATGCATAGGGATTTCTTCCTCACCCAGCCCACCTCTGCCCCGACAACCAGTCAGTTCTCTAGCAGGCATCAGCTGGGAGTCCTAAAATTTAATTCATTTCCAACACAGTTTGCCAGGAGGAAGCGTCAGATCTGACAGGTTGAAGGGCTCAGTCCCATAAGACTGTCCCCAATTCAGATGCCAGTTGAAAGTAGTAGTTTGTTACCTATACTTCTGACCTACCAGTTATTGGCCGGGCGCGGTGGCTCACGCCTGAACTCCCAGCACTTTGGGAGGCCGAGATGGGCAGATCATGAGGTCAAGAGATTGAGACCATCCCGGCCAACATGGTGAAACCCCGTCTCTACTGACAATGCAAACATTAGCTGGGCGTGGCATCACGTGACTGTAATCCCTTCTACTCGGGAGGCTGAGGCAGGAGAATTGCTTGAACCCAGGAGGCGGAGGTTGCAGTGAGCTGAGATTGCACTACTGCACTCCAGCCTGGTGACAGAGCTAGACTCCATCAAGGAAGGAAGGAAGGAAGGAAGGAAGGAGGGAGGGAGGGAGGGAGGGAGGGAGGGAAGGAAGGAAGGAAGGAAGGAGAAAGAAAAGAACAGAGTGCACTGGTATATTTTGGAATGCTTCCTTTCCCTTCTTGCTATTGGAAACACAAGGGGATTTTTCTCCAATATTCACTGTGAGGCCTGGTCAGGTTCCTAGAGGTAAAACTCACAAAAGTATGGGGTCCCCTATGACTGGGTCCCTGGGGTTTTCAACTGTCTGACTTGCCTACACCAAGCCTGCAGCAATCTCTGTTACAGTCCTGGTTTTCCTCCCCCAACACTGGTTCCCACAGAATTTTCAGCTTATGAGTCTCTGCCCTGGTAAGTTGTGATTGTCTGTCTTCTCCTGTTGGTCTCTCCAGTTTAGGGGGCAGTGGTTTGCCCTATGACCTAACTTCTCTTATGGATCTAAGAAGAGTTGGTTTTTCAGTTTATTCAGCTTTTTACCTGTTGTTAGGTAGAGTGGCAACTTCCAAGCTCCTGACTTATGTGAAACTGGAAAGCAGAAGTCTCTTATCATTTTGTATTTATGCATTTTGATTGTTGATCTGTATGCTTGACCAGCAACATTGAGTATTCCAGCCCTATCATCAGGCAAGTTTTAGAAACATTATCTTAGAAGTATTGGTGGGAAGCAGCTTTTGTCTATCTTGAAGTGTGTATATTTCCCTGTTTGTTCAAGGTGGTTGCCGTCTTCTGGCTTCCATTGTTGGCTGTTGTTGAAAACATCGGCTGCCCTTCAAATTACTTTTCTTTGATCGGTAAATATGTCTTTTCTATCAGGCGCATTATAAAAGTATTCTCTCTTTTCAGTTTTCTGCTATTTCACAAAGACATTGTAAGAGATTTGTTTTTACTTATCCTATTGGATATTTTGTGTGCTTCCCGGGGCTGGATTGTTGCATGGGTTTTGAGAAATTCTCAGATGTGTCTTCAAGTATCACCTTTACTCGATTCCCTCTCTCCTCTCCTCTGGGTTGCCAATTAGATGTGAGTCTCATCATTTCATCTCATCCTTCTCCGTGTCTCCTAACCTGTCTTTCATAAAATTTTCCTTCTTGTCTCTGTTTCATTTTGGATGACTTCTTCAGTTCTGTCTTCCTGTTCACAAATTCTCCTTCAGACAGGAAGTGAAACAGTCACTCAGTAGGATGGATAAGACTGTTTCGCCTGTTAATAGATTTCATCTCTGCAGGTTCCGTTTGCTTCTATTTTCAGATCCAGCTGGGCCGCTTTGCTGGCCTGTCCCTGCTTGCTATTGCCTGTCATCTGGGAGTCCGTCCTTATGTCTTTAAGCCTGTAATATTTACTGGATTTTATTATGTATCTGATAACTCCTCCATCTGAAGCGTCCATCTGTTTGTCGTTTCTGCTGACTCCCATTCACAGTTGCTCATGTTCTTGGGTGTTTGGTGACCTCGATTAGGATGTCGGTTCTTGCTGGGTCGTGACCTTGGTGATCCTGAGGGCCAGGATGCGCGTTTCCCTGTACTTGGGGCAGGCCCAGTGTTTGCTTTTCGGGCAGCAGACTTGGCAGCCTTTGCTCCCCAGAGCGCACACCCTGCTTTTGGTGCTTGTCTGCCCACTGGATGCCCTGCCGCGGTGGGGAGGGTGTGCTCATTCCTGCAGACGTGCCTTGCCACTTGCAGGCCTGCAATACATTTAACACATCTGTTTGATTCAGGAGCTGTAGGCAGGGATTGCATCAGGAACCTGGCCCACGTGGGCCCTGTGCCCCTTCTCTGTCTGTGTTGTGGCTTTGTCCACCCTGTGTCCTCGCTGTCTGCCAGGCCATTTTCCTACACTTTTTCTCTCCAGCCTTGGTTCTTTGCCTCCCCTTCCCATAGTAGGCCACAGACCATCTGCTTGGTGCCACGCCCTGTCCTGGGTCCACGTCAGTGCATTGAGACTCTAGGTCCCTCCAAGATGGCGGAGGGTAGACATTTCTCTTTTCTGACATGAGTGCAGTTGGGGCGTGTCTCATGCCTAGAGTGTGTGTGGTCAGGACCTGGTTCACATAGGTGCCATGTTTTGCTGGGATTGGTGGTTTTTACTCCCATTCCATGGTGTGTCAAGTGGGGATGGCATCTTCAGTCAATGGCGTCAGGGAGATGGGGCTTTTGAGACCTCTGGGACCAGTGCCCTGCCTATCTCTCCTAACCTCTGGCTGTGTCCGTCATGAATCTTTTCCTGAATGCACCAAGGGGTTGTGCTGTAGGTGACACACTGTGTGCTCCTGCCCAGCCTCTGCCCATAACCCTGCCCTGCACGGCCCAGGTAGGCTGCACATGCTCACCAGGCCCACCTCGGCCCTCCCACCTCTTTTTGCCTCTGCACCCACAGTCCCCTTGGCTTTGCTCCTCTGAGTTCATGTGAGACCTGCCCATTTGTAGAGTCTTGTATTTGTCCCTGCCGAGCCAGTTGTGTAAGCATCACAGTCTCCCTAGGAGACGGTGGCTCTTCACAGGTCAAGGTCAGCACCTTTGAATTCAGGGCACTGATGGGCTCACACCAGCTGCACGAGATGTTCTCATGTGAAGTGTGTGGCCCGCTGCTGGATTTTTGTTTCTTTCTCTTCAGGTGTTGCTGGAAGAAGCCAAGGATTTGCTCTCTGACTGGCTGGATTCTACACTTGGCTGTGATGTCACTGACAATTCCATCTTCTCCAAGCTGCCCAAGTTCTGGGAGGGGGACTTCCACAGAGACATGGAAGCTCTGAATGTAAGTGTCACGATTGTCTTGTGCTGGCTCTCTTGCGCTAAGGGCCCTGATTTCTAAATTCCTGTTTTGGCAAGGCCAGCTCAATTAAGCGGCCAAGTCAACATTGAACTTGAGTTGAGGGGCATAATGGGCTTTTCGTTTTATGAATTGGGAACGTTTTTATGGAGCGCGTGGTTTTCAGAAGGGAAAATCCCAGGACATTCTCATGTCTTGCACAGGTTCTCCCTCCAGATGTCTTAACCCGGGTTAGTGAGTATGTGCCAGAAATTGTGAACTTTGTCCAGAAGATTGTGGACAACGGTTACGGGTAAGCACAAGGGCCCTCCCTAGGGAGGGAAGGGCTGCAGAACATCGCACAGGGAGGAGCTCCCCAGCTCTGAGCCTGAGTTTGGGAAGCAGAGGAGCAGGTGTTCTGGGGCTGCGTAGCTAGAAGTCCCAGCAGACTTCCTCCTACAACTCTGGGCCCACCCAGGGGCTGAGGAGCATGGGTCTGCACTGTCCTGGGGGCCATGGTGAGAACCTAACCCAGAATCTGCTGGGAAGCTCGGAAGCCAAGACCATCAGTCATGGGGCCCCAGAGCTGCATAATGGTGAGTGCGAATACTGCTGGGCCTTCACAGACATCAGTGCCATTGCGTAGACATTTTGAGAGTGCTAGTCCTGGTGTCATATCCCGAAGGAGGATGCATGTCATCAGCATCTATCGCTTGGCTATGATTTTAGTGACTTTTTGTTGGCAAATCCATCATACACTTCCCTGGCCCGTATTGTCTCAATCTCCAAAGTAAGCATTTTCAGAAATGGCCAACAAATGGAAATGCAGACAGGAACCCGGTTATCTGTCTGTAGTGTGTAGGGACCAGCCCCACAGGGTCGGTGGGTTTTTCTCCCCATGTGTGGAGATGAGAGATTGTAGAAATAAAGACACAAGACAAAGAGATAAAAGAGAAGACAGCTGGGCCCGGGGGACCACTACCACCAAGACGCGGAGACCGGTAGTGGCCCCGAATGCCAGGCTGCACTGATATTTATTGGATACAAGACAAAGGGGTAGGTTAAGGAGAGTGAGCCATCTCCAATGATAGGTAAGGCCACGTGGGTCACGTGTCCACTGGACAGGGGGCCCTTCCCTGCCTGGCAGCCAAGGCAGAGAGAGAGAGGAGACAGAGAGAGACAGCTTACGCCATTATTTCTGCATATCAGAGACTTTTAGTACTTTCACTAATTTGCTACTGCTATCTAGAAGGTAGAGCCAGGTGTACAGGATGGAACATGAAGGAGGACTAGGAGCGTGACCGCTGAAGCACAGCATCACAGGGAGACGGTTAGGCCTCCGGATAACTGCGGGCGAGCCTGACTCATGTCAGGCCCTCCACAAGAGGTGGAGGAGCAGAGTCTTCTCCAGACTCCCGCGGGGCAAGGGAGACTCCCTTTCCTGGTCTGCTAAGTAGCGGGTGTTTTTCCTTGACACTTACGCTACCGCTAGACCACAGTCCGCTTGGCAACGGGCATCCTCCCAGACGCTGGCGTTACCACTAGACCAAGGAACCCTTCTGGTGGCCGTGTCCGGGCATAACAGGAGGTTCACACTCTTGTCTTCTGGTCACTCCTCACTATGTCCCCTCAGCTCCTATCTCTGTATGGCCTGGTTTTTCCTAGATTATGATTATAGAGCGAGGATTATTATAATATTGGAATAAAGAGTAATTGCTACAAACTAATGATTAATGATATTCATATATAATCATATCTAAGATCTATATCTGGTATAACTATTCTTATTTTATATTTTATTATACTGGAACAGCTCGTGCCCTTGGTCTCTTGCCTCGGCACCTGGGTGGCTTGCCGCCCACAGTAGTGCTCAGCACTGTACCGTGCGCCTGCTCCCAGAGACCCACTGTGTCCAGCCTCAGATTGCTTCCCTCCCACAGGAACCACACAGGCTGGCTGAAAGAGAAACAAGAGGTTGTGACAGTGCCAGGAACGGGGCAGACTCTTAAGCAGTAGCGCTGCTTCTCTCCCCACTTCACACAAACTACTGTGGGGCAGCATAAGAGCCTGTGCCAAGCCGAGAGGCATGGGCAAGCCGAAGCTCAGAGAGGACAGGTCATTCCAGACTGGAGTAATCTAGAGTGCTTCTTGGAGGCCAAGAGCCTCAGCTAAGCTAATGGGTAGAGTGTGGACATTCAGGGAAAGGTGAGGCCACACAAGAATGAGGACGGCAGCAGCCCTGAGCAAGGCAGGGTGGGAGCTGCATGGGTCACAGGACGCCAGGCAGAGGGACGAGCTGCCCAGGGCAGGCAGGCTGCCTCCGCAGCGGGATGGGCCCTGGTGTCCCACTCAGTCCAAACAGCTGATACGGTTTTCAGTGGCCACCACAGAGAGTAGATAGGCCACAGATTTCGCACTTTTATAGCCCTGCTTTATTTTGTTACTGTCATCCTGCTGACACACTTTCGGGTCTGTTAGATGCACCCACCCAATTCCTTTTCTGTTTTCCAGCTATGTCTCCAATGGGTCTGTCTACTTTGATACAGCGAAGTTTGCTTCTAGCGAGAAGCACTCCTATGGGAAGCTGGTGCCTGAGGCCGTTGGAGATCAGAAAGCCCTTCAAGAAGGGGAAGGTGAGGAGGGCATGCCTGAGAGCATGTGGGCTCTCCCTCCTGGCCCAGCCTGGGTTGTGTTGACTTTGCAGGCCACGGGGGCTGCGCTGAGCCCACCCCTCAGACTCTTGGGAACAGTGCTTTTTCACCTGAAGGAATTTTAGGAGTTTTCTGCACTCAACATTGTGCAGCTCTAAGACCATGACATGTGTTTTTTTAATGGATATATAATAATTATGCAATTTATGGGGAACATGTGATGTCTTAATACATGCACACCCTGTGTGATGATCGGGGTAGTTAGGATGCTCGTCACCTTAGACATTTACCTTTTCTTTGCATTGGGAATGTTCCAGATCTTCTGGCTATGTTGAAATATACAACAAATGTTTTGGTAACTATAGTCACCCTACTGTGCTAGTGACCACAAGAACCTATTCTTTCTGTCTGTGTGTTTGTGCCTAGAAACCAACCTCTCCCCACTCACTGCCCCTGACCTGACCCTTCTCAGCTTCTGGTGACCACTGTTCTATGCTGCACCTCCTTGAGGTCCACCGTTTTTTAGCTCCCACATAAGAGAGAGGACATGTGATATTTGTCTTTCTCTGCCTGGTTTATTTCACTTAACAGAACGTCTTCCAGTTCCATCCATGTTGCTGTAAAAGACAAGATGTCATTTTTTTATGGTGTGTTATTTTTTAAGAAACAAAAGACAGTAAACGCAGTGCTGTCTTGAGAAACACAGTGGCCCCTGGGGCCTGGATTCACAGGGCTGGTGTTTGCTGGCTGAGCATGTGAGGTTTAGGGGGATTGTGGGGTGCTGGGATGTGTGCCGAGTGATGCATATTTGACAACAGCCTGTGCGCCCATCTGGATCCAAATGCTTCAAACACAGATATCAGACTTTTTCTAGACCAGGCAGAATTATATTGGGAACCCTTTCGTTGGTGTTTTCTTCATGTTTATCCCTTAAGTGAATCTGGGGACACATCCACAAGAGGCAAGGTTGGAAGCCTCCCTGCAGAGTGGGGATTCCCGCAATGTGCCAGGGCACGTTCTGCACCCCCACCCCGCCTGTCCTAGTGTTTCTGGAAGACAATTTGGCCATAAAAATGTTCATACTTTTATCTAATTTTAGGCTCTATTCTAAAGAAATATCAGAACCTAAAATAAAGGTGCGGTGGCTCACGCCTATAATCCCAGCACTTTTGGAGGCCGAGGTGGGTGGATCACCTGAGGTTGGGAGTTCGAGACCAGCCTGGCCAACATGGCGAAACCCCATCTCTACTAAAAATACACAAATTAGCCAGGTGTGGTGGTGCTTGCCTGTAATCCCAGCTACTCAGGAGGCTGAGGCATGAGAATCACTTGAACCCAGGAGGCAGAGGTTATAGTGAGCCAAGATTGTGCCACTGCACTCCAGCCTGGGTGACAGAATGAGACTCTGTCTCAAAAAAATATATAATAAAATAAAACCAGACAACACAGACTGAAGAAAGATAGAGATAGCCAGGTTGACACATAAATATCAGACCCATGGCATTTCAGGCTCCGGGTTTGTGGGAGTAGAGGGGCGGGTTTGTGATGATGAAGCGCCTCAGCTCTGAGAGGATGCAGCCTGGGCCTCTAGACCAGAAGGCTTCACTACCCTAGAACCAGAGTGGACATGCCCACGTTTCATGCACTTCCCAGGAGTTGACAGATCAAGTAGGCCAAGAATTAATATGGATATGAAAGGTTTGAAATACAGTTAACAGGCTTGGTTTGAGAGCTGGGAACTTTGCACTCAGGAATTAAAGAACATCCTTTCCTTCCAAGAACACAGAAACATATGCCAGGCCACAGAAAGATTTCCACAAATCTCAAAGAACCGTTTTCAAGGAACCCTCATTCTGTCAAGGAGCCCTCATTCTGTCACCATGGAGCGATTGTATTAGATAACAACACTTGGCCAGACATGGCGACCCACACCTGTAATCCCAGCACTTTGGGAGGCCGAGGCAGGAGGATCGCTTGAGCCCAGGAGTTCCAGACCAACCTGGGCAACATAGGGAGACCCCCTTTCTACAAAAAATTTAAAAATGAGCTGGGTGTGGTGGCACGTGCCTATAGTCCCAGCTACTTAAGAGGCTGATGCAGGAGGATCACTTCAGCCCAAGAAGTCAAGGCTGCAGTGAGCCCTGATTGTGCCATTGCACTCCAGCCTGGGCAACAGAGCAAGACTCTGTCTCAAAGACATTAAAAAAAATTTTTTTTTTAAATAAAAAAGATACCAGCACTGACAGGACGGACGTCTAAAATGTACAAACTTGTCTGGGGGGTTGAAATCATGCTCCTGGATAACTCCTAGGAAAGAAAACCACAGTGGGAAATCAGGGGTGTTTAAGCAGAACAGCAGCAAAGGTGCCACACACCAAATCTGGAGAATGCCCCTAAAGCACCAATTAGAGGAAACTGATGTTTTTAAATGTAGTTATTAAAAAACAAAGATGGAAAATAAGTGAGGTGCCGGGTGCAGTGGCTCACGCCTGTAATCCCAGCACTTTGGGAGGCCAAGGCAGGCGGATCACGAGGTCAGGAGTTCGAGACCAGCCTGGCCAATGTGGTGAAACCCCATCTCTACTAAAAATACAAAAATTAGCCGGGTGTGGTGGCGCATGCCTGTAGTCCCAGCTACTCGGGAGGCTGAGGCAGAAGAATCGCTTGAACCCTGGAGGCGGAGGTTGCAGTGAGCTGAGATCGTGCCACTGCACTCCAACCTGGGTGACAGAGCAAGAGTCCATCTCAAACAAAAAAAAAGGAAATAAGTGAGCTAAGCAGTCAGTCAAAAAGCTGGGAAAGGAACAAGAAGAAGTAGAAAGAAATAGGAGGAAATAAAGTAAAATCAGAGATTAAAGAAACAGAAACAATTGTAAAAGCCAAAAGCTGATTCTTCTCAAAAAATAATATAGAAGAACCCTTAGCAAGTTTGATTAATAAAAGTAGAAGATTGAAAAACATATTAGGGCTGAATTATAGCTCATGCCTATAATTCAGCACTTTGGGAGGCCGAGGCAGGAGGATCGCTTGAGGCCAGGAATTCAAGACCATCGTGGGCAATGTAGTGAGACCGCATCTCTACAAAAATTTTAAAAATTAGCTGAGTGTGGTAGCATGCACCTGTAGTCCCAGTTACTCAGAAGGCTGAGGTAAGAGGGTTGCTTGAGCCAGGGAGGTCGAGGCTGTAGTGAGCTGTGATTACACCGTTGCACTCCAGCCTGGCTGACAGCAAGATCCTGTGTGTGTGTTTGAATGTATGTATGTATGTATGTATGTTTGAATAACAAGACAAAAATGGAATGTAACTATGGATATAGTAGAGCATTTCTTAAAGTCCTTAGAGGAAGCCGTGAACAACTCGCACTGCATTTGACACTTAGATGCCGGGAGGGAACTGGCAGCACATGGGAAAGGTGGGAGTGGTAAGTGGAGCAGTGCCCTCAGGTCACGTGGTGAAGGAATGTTCTGGAGGCAGCTAGAGCACACTGACTCACCACTTTATGATGAATTTTGCTATCTGGCCCCATCTAGGGTCTTTTTCTTAAATACCATTTATTCTTGGGCCCATTTTCTTCCAGAATGACTTCAGCATTGGTTTAAGTTCCAGGAAACAGGAGTAGAATCTAACAGCCAATATGCAGGACCAAAGAGGGACATGGATTTCCACCCCTCCACAGTCAGTGATCAGACGTGGGCACATGACCACCCCCGCAACCTCCCCCCACCATGGGGAGTCATAAGGAGTGTAGCCTTAGCTCTGTGCAGTCATGTGCTCCTCGCCATGGGGACTCTAATGGTAGAGGAAAAGGGGAGGGGTGATGCTGGGGCCCAAGTGGTCCTAGATGATGACAGCTCCTCACTCCGCCAAGTAAGATGACCCACCAGAGGCAGATGGGCCATGCAGACCACTCGGGAAGGCACGTGGCAGGAAGGCCTAGTGCAGGGAGGAAGCTCCCCCAGTGGGAGAGAACAGGACCCTGTTGTGCTGGTATGAACATGCTTGTAGGGTCAAAGCTAGAAACACTCACTCTGCCTCTGGGGAGAGAGACAGGAAATGAAACCAAGAAGGAAAACTTGAAAGACATTGTGTTGTAACCATAATAGGTCTGTTGCCCAATGCACAGCGAGTCAGTATACCGGGATACCAGGGGTTGCCGTAGAAGAAGCGTAGTAATTGTATGGTGGACAAATGGAGATGGGAGGAAACCTCAGATCCGCCTCCCTGAGATTTGGGGAGGGGTTTTTAATTGCTCTGGACAGGTGATGGGGATTGCCGGTTGCTGGGGAAGTGAGGGGCGAAGTCATGGGACAGGGAGGTAAACCACATTTCTGCGACGAGTCAGTTCCTTGGTGCAGGTCTTCAGACCAGTTGGCAACAGCTGTCCTGCTGGAATTCAGGATCCAAAAAATACCTTAAGCAGTTCTTGGTAAAAAGGTCCAGGGTTAGAGATTCTATCGCTAGGAACAGTGGTGGAGCAGGTGGTCAGCGTGCTATGTGACTCTCAGTTAGAGCTGCAGGGAAGCGGATGGACGTGCACTGCACCTGGCCAGTGACCGGCCTCATCATTCTGCCTATAGCCTGCCTTGGAATTCTCATTAACCCTATGAGGGCAGTTGCAGTGTGATGTTTGCTGAAGGATAGGGTGTTTGTGGGGAGGGTCCTGTGTTCTCTGTTATCAATTTTTTCAAAGCGTATTTTTAAAAAATCAGATATAAACTTTCATGAGTAAGTTCATAATAATGAAAAGTTGAAAACGTGAATGTATATTTTCTATCAAAGAGCATCTAAAAGCGAATGTCATGGGCCATATCACATTGTGCTTTTGCGGAATTGTCAGTGGCAGAACAGTGCGGAGGTAGAAGGAAGCCAGGACAGCGGCCTTCCGTGTTGGTGGATAGATCTGGATTTTGCTTGCAGAGGTTTTTTGTGTTTTTGTGTGTTTGTTTTTTAATCTGGGAATCAGTATACCAAAATGGTAACAGTAGTAATTCCTAGGTTAAAAGATAATGGCAATTTTTTTCCTAGTTTTCTTTTTTTATCTTTCAAATATTCTACATTTAGTACATATTTTATAATCATGAACTTGGTGTTTAGAAAAATATATTTAGCGGTGCTTTTCCTCTGGACTCTGTTTCTCAGGGCAGCTTAGGTCTGTTGCCTGATTAGGCTCCTGAAAAGTGGATTTGTCACCTGGAAAGATCTCACTGCAGCTTCTTCAGGGTCACCTGAGTTAGAACCCTAGATGGAGTCTGTTCTTCCTCCACAAGGGGGTGACAGCACCTAAGGCAGCCCTTAGACCAGGGACCAGGAAAGGCTGCAGCAGCCGGGCAAGACCTGGCGTGGGTCCTGGTAACCTTATGCCTAGAGTGAAGACCTCTGCTCTGCCCATTCATCGAACAAAGGGTGATTCTCTGCGTGACCTTTGGACTGGCTCACAGGTTTCTTTATTCACAGCAGCTAATCTTTTCCATTGGTCCTGCATGTATTGTTGAGAGAAATCTGCAGTGATGGTGCATTCCTTTTCTGGGGACTCAGACCGCCTTGTACCCTGAGTGTCAGGTGGCTGAGTGTCACCGAGTCAATGCATGGAATTCACCAAGGGGTTATTTCTCATCCCTCTGGCAAGGCATAGACAGTCTTGTTTTTGTTGGCCAGGTGATCATTGGCTTTGTCCAGGAAATAGAACTTGTGCCAAGAGCAGTACTCCCCTTTTCTTATGGCCTTCCTGGACTATTCTTTAGTTTCCTTCACCTATTTTCCCCTTATAAATACACAGGAACAGCAAATGTCCCCTTCACCACTGCACTGCCACCAGGTTCCCTGCAGTAGTACACAGCAGCTTAGCTGCATCCTTGTATCCCCCGGGACCCATAAGCAGATAGTTGTGCGGGCCCTTGACATATTGACCCCACCCGCATGAACCAGGCAGGATCCCTGAGCCATGCCCCAGTGGCTGCACCACTATGTCACCTCCTAGCTTTAGCCCAGGGTTCTTATCACTTGTCCTAGACACTGGTGGGCTAATGCTGTGAGAAGGCAGCAGGAAGGTGAATGTCTTACGGAGACCCCAGATGTGGCCTCAAGTCAGCCAGGTATATAAGCTGGTGACTTTGGGGATTATGTACCGTTTTGTAAATCTAGACACTGGGTCAACACCAGAATCTGGTAATACATAGTTAACTTGAAGAAATGCTTGAGCCAAGTTAATAAACAGAAGTTAGTCAGAAGGACTGCCCATTAGGCACCGTGGATGGCCTTGAAGTGAGACATGTGGGTCTGTGGGTGCTGCTGAGTGACCTTGCCTGGCGTCCCTCGTGTTTGCAGGTGACCTGAGCATCTCTGCAGACCGCCTGAGTGAGAAGCGCTCTCCCAACGACTTTGCCTTATGGAAGGCCTCTAAGCCCGGAGAACCGTCCTGGCCGTGCCCTTGG
Organism: Homo sapiens; assembly: GCF_000001405.40. NCBI lineage: Eukaryota > Metazoa > Chordata > Mammalia > Primates > Hominidae > Homo > Homo sapiens. The sequence continues at coordinate 251,282 of NT_187585.1, read as the reverse complement.
GGAAAGGTGAGCGAGTGGCCTAGAAGGTGTGGGGCTTGGACAGGGGCACTGGCGCCAGCCACACTCTCAGGCCCCCAGCAGAGGGCCGCTCTGTGTGTGAAGGATGTTGTCACTGGGCCAGAGCCTGGTGCTGGTGCAGCACAGGCTGCCTGGCCCCGGGGACCTGGACATCATGGAGACTCCCTGAGTCTCTGGACAAATCACTTCCCTCCTGGGATTTCTGTTTTCTGGTCTGTAAGTGGAGATGTGATCAGAGTAGATGTCCATGGAGGCTTCTTGGTTCTTGTGTTCTGTGACTCTGAGTATTCCAGGCCCCAGGGTGTAGGATGCGTTCTGATCTTCCCGGTGACAGGAGTTGTTGACTGCAGGGTACCCTAGGAAGGGGCGTGACCATCTGCAGCTGTCAAGGGCTCAGAGGTCTGGATGTAATTCAGTAACTTCACCTAAACCTCGGCCCACATAGGACCGGTTTATGAACTTCACCAAAGAAGGCTATCCTTAGTCTTTTTTTTTTTTTTGAGACAGAGTGTCACTCTGTCACCAGGCTGGAGTGCAGTGGCGCGATCTCAGCTCACTGCAACCTCTGCCTCCTAGTCCCGGTTCAAGCAATTCTCCTGCCTCAGCCTCCTGAGTAGCTGGGATTACAGGCATACGTCACCATGCTCAGCTAATTTTTGTATTTTTTTGTATTTTTAGTAGAGACGGGGTTTCACCATGTTGGCCAGGCTGGTCTTGAACTCCTGACCTGGTGATCCGTCTGCCTCGGCATCGCAAAGTGCTGGGATTACAGGTGTGAGCCATCTCGCCCAGCCTTCCCTTAGTCTTTTCATGTGCGGGATTTAACGCTTGTTCCAATAAAGTTCAGAGGATGTAAGGGCCATCAACTTGGAGTGATAAGTGATAAAGGCCTGGACAAGCGGGTAGGCTGGTCAGTCACTGTGTGTTCGGCTTTCTCCAGGGTCGTCCGGGCTGGCATATCGAGTGCTCGGCCATGGCAGGCACCCTCCTAGGGGCTTCGATGGACATTCACGGAGGTGGGTTCGACCTCCGGTTCCCCCACCATGACAATGAGCTGGCACAGTCGGAGGTAGGTGAAAACAGAGTCCCCTTGTCAGGTGCAAGAGCACAGTGTTCATACTGCAGTGGAGGAAAAGTCAGCCCAGGCCTCAGAAGGGCCTCTCTCACTAGAACTTGACACCTTCATCGGGGCTTGTGGGTGGAATCTGAACCCTGATCATTTAGTGTGGTTTCCGCATTGACAGCCTGGCCTTTGGCAACAGACTAGCCTGGATTTGAACCAGTTGTGTTACCTGCTGGCTTATTAACCTGGGCTGTCCTTCCAAGCCCTGCCTGCACCACCTGGAAAACACAGCTCCTGCCTGTGGACAGCACCAACAAGGCAGCAGACAGTGCAGGTGGCAGGAGGCGGCCCCAGTAACACATGACTGTTGACATCCTTTGTCTCTTTCCACGCAGGCCTACTTTGAAAACGACTGCTGGGTCAGGTACTTCCTGCACACAGGCCACCTGACCATTGCAGGCTGCAAAATGTCAAAGTCACTAAAAAACTTCATCACCATTAAAGATGCCTTGAAAAAGCACTCAGGTATACACTGGCTTCTCCCACAGACCCCCCAACCACCTTCTCATACATGTGTAATGGCTGTAGCACTCGGGAGAATAAGGGCGTTGGCTGTCTTGTGTCCCCCCACAGCACGGCAGTTGCGGCTGGCCTTCCTCATGCACTCGTGGAAGGACACCCTGGACTACTCCAGCAACACCATGGAGTCAGCGCTTCAATATGAGAAGTTCTTGAATGTGAGTCCCCAGCCCCTTCCTGGAGGTTGGTGGAGCAGCCTCCCCTGCACAGTGGGCACCTTGTGCAGTGGTGATAGGTGCACCAGCCTCCCGATGTCTCTAATGGAGACCAGCACATGGGTGGAAGCACCTCCATGCTAGTGGGTATAACAGGCTCGGGGCCACTCCTGAAATGGCTGACGGCTCAGCAGAGTGGACAGAGGCCTCGTCCTCCTAGTCACTGCAGTGCACGTCCTTCTGACTTGTACTTTCCACCAAATGAGCATCTGTAAACCTAAAGCAAGAACATGTTTCTGTCAAAGAAATATCTTTTCCTTTCTTTCTGACCACTTGTGTAATTCTGGTCTTTCAGATTTTTACCAAAAATAAAATCACAGCAGTAGAAAGTTGTAACAGATATTTCAGGATGGAAAAGTTGCCTAAATGCTGTTAAACTGATTTTTCTAACTTCAGGAGTTTTTCTTAAATGTGAAAGATATCCTTCGCGCTCCTGTTGACATCACTGGTCAGTTTGAGAAGTGGGGAGAAGAAGAAGCAGAACTGAATAAGAAGTAAGGTGGTGCCATTTCTTTGGGGTTTTTGAGCATGCCCATGTTCTATGCCTAGCCTCGCATCTTGGCCACCATGTGTCCTGGACTGTCGAGGAAGGGCTGGGGACACTGTCGTACGTTGTGCAGAATTAATTCAGGATAGGCGGCTCTGCTAATGGGAGCTGCTCTGGGTGTTGAAGTGCATGGAGAATTTCTTTTTTGTTTTTTCTTTTTGAGACGGAGTTTCGCCCTTGTTGCCCAGGCTGGAGTGCAGTGGCGTGATCTCGGCTCACCACAACCTCCACCTCCCGGGTTCGAGCGATTCTCCTGCCTCAGCCTCCCGAGTAGCTGGGGTTACAGGCATGCGCCACCATACCTGGCTAATTTCTGATTTTTAGTAGAGGTGGGGGTCTCTCCATGTTTGTCAGGCTGGTCTCGAACTCCCGACCTCAGGTGATCCGCCCACCTCAGCCTCCCAAAGTGCTGGGATTATAGGCGTGAGCCACTGCGCCTGGCCACATGGGGAATTTCTATGGTGTGTTTTCAGGTCTGACTTCACATTCCTTCCTCTTTGTTGCTCAGCTTTTATGACAAGAAGACAGCAATTCACAAAGCCCTCTGTGACAATGTTGACACCCGCACCGTCATGGAAGAGATGCGGGCCTTGGTCAGTCAGTGCAACCTCTATATGGCAGCCCGGAAAGCCGTGAGGAAGAGGCCCAACCAGGCTCTGCTGGAGAACATCGCCCTGTACCTCACCCATATGCTGAAGGTAAGCCAGGCCCCAGGCAGGCGTATCCCTCAGCCTGTGTGGACACAGGAGCCAGGCCCCAGGACTGGGAGAACAGAGGCCTCTGGTGCCCCCCAGTGCTGTGCCTGGTGCCCAGCACCTCTGAGACGTGGAGATATGCTTCTGTCCTCTTTGGTTCCTGGTGTGCTTTTCACGCGTTAGAAATAACACCCATAAGCGGAGCACAGTGGCTCACATCTATAATCCAACACTGTGGGAGGCCAGGTGAGTGTATCACCTGAGCCCAGGAGTTCAAAACCAGCCTGGACAACATAGTGAGATCCCGGGTCTATAAAATATATTAAAAATTAGCCAGGTGTGGTGGCACACACCTGTTTTCCAGCTGCTTGGGAGGCTGAGGTGAGGGGCTCGCTTGAGCCCAGGAGGTTGAATAGTGAGGTGTGATTGCACTACTGCACTCCACTCTGGGCAATAGAGGGGAGACCCTGTCTCAAAACCAGACAAAAATAAGTAACATCCATATAGTTGTCCTTACTCAGAGCTATTTCTTTCCTTTGACTCCGTTTCCCTCTACTCCCATCTTGGAGTTTGAAAAGCAAAACCACGCCAGGCGCTGTGGCTCACACCTGTAATCCCAGCACTTTGGGAGGCCAAGGCGGGCGGATCACAAGGTCAGGAGATGGAGACCATCCTGACTAACACGGTGAAACCCCGTCTCTACTAAAAAAAATACAAAAAACTAGCCAGGCATGGTGGCGGGTTCCTGTAGTTCCAGCTACTCGGGAGGCTGAGGCAGGAGAATGGCATGAACCCAGGAGGCAGAGCTTGCAGTGAGCCAAGATTGCGCCATTGCACTCCAGCCTGGGCGACAGAGTGAGATTCCATCTCAAAAAAAAAAAAAAAAGAGAAGCAAAACCAGGGACAAGGCCTCCTCTCTGAACACATCCTGTGCAGAGCCCTTCCCCGCAGTGCACCTTGAAAGGCCAGCAGGGCCTGGACTCAACTCCCCTCCCCTCTCCTCCTCTTTCCTTGTTGTTGGGCTCCAGTGGCTTCTGGCTGAAACAGAGCTGGAGAGGGTAGCTGTGAGTCAGGGCCATCCTGGAGCAATGAGGGCACCCTCAGGCTCGGGTTTCTGGGGCTCCTGGAGCTGCTGCTTCCATCTCTTTCCTGGTCTTGGGGCACCCCCTCCCGTGAACGAGGAACACAGCTCACAGCTGCTCGCCACATGCCGCCTTCATCTTGCCGCAGCTTCAGGTCCCATCTGTTTCTTTTCCTAGATCTTTGGGGCCGTAGAAGAGGACAGCTCCCTGGGATTCCCGGTCGGAGGGCCTGGAACCAGCCTCAGTGTGAGTAGCATGCAGGGTCCTGCCTTCTGCACCTGCTCCCTCCCCACTCCCTACCCCTCTGTGTCCCTCTGAACTGCCCCTCCTCTGTCTGCCCACCCACACCAGACCCTTCCGGACAGCGCCTCGAGCTAAATGGCAATTCTGGCTCTGAGAGTGCTAAGTGTGGTCAGCTGCCCTGCCGGTGTGGAGGGTCTGCTTTGGTTGTGACTGTTGGTTTGGGGCACTTTGCCATTGTGCTGTCCCATGAGCTTGGTCTTGGACCCCAACTACATAGGCCGCTGCTTATTTGCATTTTGCTGCGGCCACTTGGCATCATGAACACACATGACTTCATCACATATACTGACCTGTATTCAGTAAATGCTTCATCGAAAGGCTGCAGAGCTCACAAACAGCACAGAATTTACACTGATGGGGAGATACGCCACTGTCTGCCTCGGTCCCCATGGGGCTGGGCAGATGCCCTAACAGGCCCAGTCCTGACCCTGAGCCCAGGTCGGTCCACATGGCCTGAGCCAGGACCCCCTGCCCCAGAGCTGTGGCCCACAGGTCAGGGGGAGGTCATCCTGTAGAGCCCCCTGTCTAGTGGGTCTGTGCGGTGAGAAAATCCATCCAGAACACCCTGGCAGTCTGTTGCTGGCTTCTGTTTGCAGTTGGCATGTGAGCAGACACACACTGTCAGTCCTATCCTTCTGCTGTAGAACCCCTGTCCCGTCTGACACACCCACAGTCAGGCTTCTTAAAGATGGACTTCCACCTGCTCCCAGGTCAAGAATGCTCTTTGACTATTCGATTAGAATGCAGATCTAAATATTTAAATAGAACAACTGTAATTTTAATTAAAACAGGAGCTTAATACAAAGTCAAAATGCAAAACCTTTTTAAAATCCTGTTTCCTAATGACAAGTGGTGTGAAGAGCCCCCATGCGGATGGAGCTTACAGATGCTCCCCCAGGAACCAACTTGCAAAGAGAAAACAGTCCGTGTTGTAAGAAGTCCTGCCAGAGCACCTAGCCCATGTGCCTGGTGCCTTTTGCCAGCCTTAGCGCTAGCTAGCTTGGTTGTGGTAGTTGGTGTGGTATTTTTGAGACTTCCTGATATGAACCTTCTTTGGTGCTTTTAAGAAAACCCACATAGCTTCTTTGTTCTCTTGCGCAAATGATACTAAGATATTTATTTTCTTTAAAAACAAAAAACCAAAACACACCTCCTGGGTTAAAGTCAGCCTGCCTTTGAACTGCAGTGTTTTTCATCTTAACGGCTGCTGTGGTTGTGGGGGTGCCTTCAGCGTGCTGTGGACACGCATCCGCATCCCCCAGGCAGCCTCATTTGGCCTTTGCAGTCAGCTGATTGCGAAGAAGCAGCTGCGGCGAATGGTGAGCCTGCTGACAAAACGTCCTGTGCCCACACATCATGGCCATTTGACGTTCATGGATTAACTTCCAAATCCAAATGGTTTTAGGAGCAAGGGAGGCAGTTCCTCCATCTTGTACCACCTCAGTGTCGCCACACAGCCACCTGCTAGCATGCTCAGGTGGGGGTTGCAGCCCCAGGCGTTCTTGAGACACACCCCTGCAGCCATTCTGAGAGTTCCCCTCCAGTGCCCCTAGGGCTGGAACTGAGCCTAGCAGTGGGGTGAATGCCTCCCTTTCTGTCCTTCCCCAAGGCTTGTCTGGGCTGGCTGTGTGGTGGGTGGAGATACAGATGGAAAACCCCCAAGAAGTCCAAAGTTCAGATGCAGAATTGGGTCTCAGGGAGCTTGGCTTAGACTTAAGGGCTTGCTAGCCTGCCTGACTTTTGCACTTGCTAAATTTGTGTGTTTCTGTTTTTGAGACAGAGTCTCACTCTGTCGCCCATGCCAGTCCCTGCCCTGTGTCGTGGCCGCTGAGCTATTATTCAGTTATGGATATAGGAGTGTGAGCAGCTCTCAGCGAACAAAAGCTCTTCTTTCCACAGCTGGAGTGCAGTAGCGCAATCTCCGGTCACTGCACCCTCTGCCTCCCGAGTTCAAGTGATTCTCCTGCCTCAGCCTCCTGAGTAGCTGGGACTACAGGCATGCACCACCATGCCCGGCTAATTTTTTTTTGTATTTTAGTAGAGACGGGGGTTTCACTATGTTGGCCAGGCTAGTCTTGAACTCCTGACCTCATGATCCACCCACTTCGCCCTCCCAAAGTGCTGGGATTACAGTTGTGAGTCACCGCGCCCAGCCAGCACTTGCTAATGTTTTTATTTTGGTTACTGAGCTGCTGAATCAGCTAAGGGGCAGGGAGCAACCTTGCTCAAAAGCCTAAAACCTTTCCTGTCCTATTAGAAAAAGAGAAATGCTAGCACAGCATGGTGGCTCACGCCTGTAATCCCAGCACTTTGGGAGGCTGAGGTGGGTGAATCACCTGAGGTCGGGAGTTCGAGACCAGCCTGACCAACATGGAGAAACCCTGTCTCTACTAAAAATACAAAATTAGCTGGGCGTAGTGGCGCATGCCTGTAATCCCAGCTACGCGGGAGGCTGAGGCAGGAGAATCGCTTGAACCTGGAAGGTGGAGGTTGCGGTGAGCCGAGATCGCCATTGCATGCCAGTCTGGGCAATGAGAGCAAAACTCCATCTCAAAAAAAAAAAGGGGAAATGCTTTGGGAGGCCAAGGCGGGCAGATCACAAGGTTAGGAGATTGAGACCATCCTGGCCAACAAGGTGAAACCTCATCTCTACTGAAAATACAAAAATTAGCCAGGCGTGGTGGCGCTTGCCTGTAATCCCAGCTACTCGGGAGGCTGAGGCAGGTGAATCGCTTGAACCTGGGAGGCTGAGGTTGCAGTGAGCCGAGATCACACCATTGCACTCCAGCCTGGCAACAGAGCAAGATTCCGTCTTAAAAAAAAAAAAAAAAAAAAAAAAGGGAAATATAGTAGAAAGGTTTTTCTATCCTGTGGCCACCTCCCCAGTGTTACTGTGGGTGGTGAATCTACGTGTAGCTGCTAATGTGCATGTAGATAGTAGGTGCTTAATGGAGATCATTCATCTTAAACAAGTGTATGTGTGACCACAGATCAGACGAAAGCACGGCCCGGGAGCCGCCAGCCTCAGCATAGGTAAGGCCCCAGCCTGGGGAGTGATGTCCTTGGGCTCCTTAGGAAATAGTCCCTCCCAGAGCTGGCCCCTCTGAAACCATAAAGACAAGCTGTTTCACAGCAGCGTGTCTGACCTGAGGAAAGCAGGGCCTGTCAGCAGCTGGGCAGAGCGGCGGCAGACCCACCTGCTGCAGTAGAAAGGAAGCTCACTTCATGCTCTCTGGCCTGAGAGTCTGTGTGACTCGCACACCTAGCAGGGACTGTGTGTCAGGGACGAGAGCGTCCAGGCTCTGGGATGCCGGTCACAGCTGTAGTGTGCACAGCAGCACTGCCCATGCCAGTCCCTGCCCTGTGTCGCGGCCACTGAGCTATTATTCTGTTATGAATATGGGAGTGTGAGCAGCTCTCAGTGAACCAAAACTGTTCTTTCCGCAGCTCGAGGCCACAGTCATGCCCTACCTTCAGGTGTTATCAGAATTCCGAGAAGGAGTGCGGAAGATTGCCCGAGAGCAAAAAGGTGAGGACCAGTTGCTGGAAAGAGTGTGGGAGCCACTCCCCTCACTGGGCTCCCCGGACCGGGCGTCTCCCCCGAGGCACTATGGCGTTCAGGCCGGATCATCCTCTGGGAAGGCTGCCCCGTGCACCACAGGGTGTTGAACGGCATCCCGGGCCTGGACCCACCAGGTGCATTAGTACCACACGCTCCAGTCACCACAGCCCCACATGTCCCTGCAGGGCAGAATCCTCGAGTGAGTGCAGCTGAGTGGGCAGTGGGGACCGAGGATGTGATATGATGGGCCAGGGTTGATTTGCCTCTCCTTCTCTGAGCCGAGGCAGAATGGTGGGTCCTCTGACCAGCCCAGTCACCACCTGCCATTTGGCTCACACTGGGGCTTATTTTTGTTCCTGGTGACCTGGTAGGCTGGGTGCGCTGAGGTGTGGCTCGTTCCTGCTGCCGAGTGGAGCCGAGCTGCAGCTTCCAGGGTTCCCTTTTCTGCTCAGGCATGCCAGATGAATGCTTGAACTTGGGGTTCACACAGTGGCCCCTCACTGTCCATAAGCAGCCATTCCTTCATCTTTTTGTTTGTTTGTTTGTTTGAGATGGAGTCTCACTCTGTCTCCCAGGCTGGAGTGCAGTGGCGCGATCTCGGCTCACTGCAAGCTCCGCCTCCCGGGTTCACGCCATTCTTCTGCCTCAGCCTCCTGAGTAGCTGGGACAACAGGCGCCCGCCACCGCGCCCGGCTAATTTTTTGTATTTTTTTTTTTTTAGCAGAGATGGGGTTTCACCGTGTTGGCCAGGATGGTCTCGATCTCCTGACCTCGTGATCCACCCGCCTCGGCCTCCCAAAGTGCTGGGAGTACAGGCGTGAGCCACCGCGCCTGGCCATTCCTTCATCTTTTGAAATTTCTGAGATGTGTGTGGTTTAAGACTTAGAAAGTGCTGAATCTGAGCATTCGTTTTGACTGCCAGTTTTAAGAAAGTGTTAAACACAGCAAAAAGCAGCATCAGGCAGGCCTTTGCTTCTTCCTGTGAGTGGTTCTGAATTGGTGAGTAACAGCACAGCTGGGAACACACACTGAGGACTTAGGATGTGCTGGGCCCTGCCCACTGCTTTCTGCACATTGCCTCATTTACCACCATGATCCTCCAAAAGAGGAAAGGAGAGCCCTGGCCGGGTCACACTGACCTCGAGTGCTACTCCATCACCTGCTGTGCTAATTCTCCCTCCCCAGGGGGCCTCTGTGTGGTGGGAAGTCTGACCTAGGATCCACCTGGTCCCCATCTGTGCAGAGCCCATTATGGAGGGTCACAGTGGGGCAGCATCCAGGCAGGGCATGCTGAAGACAGAGCAGACAGAGACCCAGCAAGCCTCTAGGAGAAGCTGCACCTTGAGGAAGGATCAGGAAGCCTGGGTGGGTGGAGGGGCCGAGAGGCGGAGGAGCCGAATCTGGGCCTGTTTCGGGCAGGGGACAGTGGAGCAGGAGGCAGGAGGGCAGGAAAGAGTTTCGGGAGCTCGGGGCTCCACAGGCTGCAGGAGAGTGCAGGACACTGGGTGAGAGGAGAGGCTGGCCGGGCTGCTGGGCTGCTGGGCTGCCACAAGTGCTCTGGAGAGGGGCCTGGGCCTGACTGAGCCCCTAACAGGCAGCGGTGGGCGCACTTGCCCTGACCACATAAGCACCATCGCCCCTTTCCAACACCTGATGCCCTCAGCATTTCAAAGCACTGGAATCAAACTGAACCAAGCCTGGACCAGCCTATTCAGGACCAGCGCAGGGCTCTCCAGCAATCTTGGCAGCACTAACTTAGCGGCATCGCTGGGGTCGTGGGCTTGGGAAGACCATTCCTGGAGGTCGCCTGGGCATTTCCACCTGCCTTCTGGGGGACATCGAAGGCCGAGCCCGGGCCCCAGCTCCCTGGGGTCATACAAGACTGTGCACGTGGCCTTGGCTTCCCTGGCATGCCACAGCCCCGGGAGGGCGCTAAAGGGGGACTGGCCAGGCACAAGCTCCCGCTCGGTGGCACTGACCAGGACAGGACTTGCTCAGGCCTGGAGAGTGGCACCAGCCAGCCAGCATTGGAAGTAGTTCGGTTTTGCTTTCTGTTTGCTTTTCACTTTTGTTTTGTGGCTTGGAGCAGGTAGATGGGTGATGTGGCCCCAGGTTAAGATGGTGGTGATCCCTACCCTGTACATCATCCCATATGTGCCTTGTGAGCCAGAGACCCTGGGGATCCAGGGGCCTCAGACCTTCCGACGGGGCAGCGTGTTAGAGGTGGCTCTGGTGCAATCACCCTGTCTCCCCAGCAGCAGCAAATAGTGACTGTTTTGTTATTCACTGTTAACATCTCATGGCTGGCCAAAGAGAAAGTGAGTGTATAACAAGCTCAGGGGTGGCCCTCAGATCAGCTGGGATCTGCTTGGCCCAGGCCAGATGCTCCACAGACAGACGAAAAAGAAACTGTTTCCCCTGGAAATACCCCCATGGTCCAGTCAGCTAGAGAGCACAGGCCTGGCAAGGAGGGCAATGGGTTCAGGGTTTGACCAGGAGAGAGGCACTGAAGTGAGAAAGCCAGGGGCTGGGCCAGGGCCCTCTGCACTGGGGAGATGATGCCATTTCCCCATCGCCACGGTTTTGTTTTCATTATGTTAAAATACACAGCTCAGTGCCATTAGGGACATTTACAGTGTTGTGCAGCCGCCACCGTCCATCTCCAGAACTCTTCCCTTTTCCCAAACTGGAACTCTGTCCCCATGGAACAGCAACTCCACATCCCCTCCCTCAGCCCCTGGTGCTCACCCTCTACTTCTGTCTCTTTGGATTTTACTACTCCAGGGACCCTACATGAGTGGAGTCACACAGTGTTTGTCCTGTGTCTGGCTTATTTCGCTGATCACGGTGTCCTCAGGTCTATCCACGTTGCAGCCTGTGTCAGGACCTCCTGCCTTTTTAATGGCCAAATCATATTCCATGGATGGATGGGCCCTGATCTGTCTATTCTTCCATGGAAGAATTCTCATCACCTTTGCGTTATCTTTGTAGCCCACATTTCTCTTCAGTAAATCCCTGATGATGATGTCATTGTCTGCTCCTCTGCCCCAGCTCTGCTAACAGAAGCCACAGAGGCTTCTTCCTCAGCTCCTCAGAATCCAGACCCAGAGGTCGGTGTGGGCCTGAGGGGTACGGCGTGTGTCCCTTTCCCCCAGGGAGTGTGGCCCGGGAGGCTTTCTTGGTGCCTGCTCTGATGATCACCCATGGCGGGTGGGCTGGGGTGCTGGCCTTGTGGCCTCCCATGACACCCGTGACAGTGACCACAGGTGCTGGCTTGCCTTCCTTCTAATGAGGGTGCTATCCAGGGGTGGCTTTCAAAGAGTGAAGGGCAGGCACCTACCTCAGCTCATGCCCCAGTCAGCTGCTCCTCAGGTGGCTGAGGAGGGCCTGTTCCCAGGAATGATACTGCAGACAAATATAAAGGCCATTGTTCCCCTAGGTCTCTGCCTGGGGAGGTTGAAACTCCGGAAGCTGCCCAAAGTGGCTGTGCTTATGAGCGCGGCCTTGAAGCCCAAGGATATGCAATTTTTTTTTTTTTTTTTTGAGATGGAGTCTTGCCCTGTCGCTAGGCTGGAGTGCAGTGGTGTCATCTTGGCCCACTGCAACCTCCGACTCCCTGGTTCAAGCGATTCTTCTGCCTCAGCGTCCCAAGTAGCTGGGATTACAGGCACATGCCACCACACCCAGATAGTTTTTGTATTTTTAGTAGAGATGGGGTTTCACCATGTTGGCCAGGATGGTCTCGATCTCCTGACCTTGTGATCCACCCGCCTCAGCCTCCAAAAGTGCTGGGATTACAGTCATGAGCCACCGTGCCTGCCCGGATATGTGAATATTTTATCTAGCAGTGAATGAAGGTGTGGGGTGCCCAGCAAGGAGCTCTAGGGGTCTCAGTTATGAGGACACAGCAGGAAAAGGACAGACGAGAATGGCAGCATGTGCATGGTCAGTGCTGCCCAAAGGCAGGGCAGGCAGGAGGATGGGGTGGGATGGTGGGGGTCCCAGCAGGCTGGGGGGCAGGGCACCTGCCCGCCTAGCACAGTTGGGCGCAGCAAGCTGAGGGGCCAGAAGAAAACTAAAGGGTGTGGTGATTCCAGCAAACCCAAGGTCAGATTTCAGAGCAGAAAGTTGTCACTTGGAGAGCAGCAAGCATCTGTCCTGTTGATGTAGTCTAGGAGATGCTGTCACATCACCTGATACTCTGGAGTCTTTCTGAGATAGGTTGGCATCCCATTTACCCTGTAACACCCAAAACTTCTTATGTCCTGTTCTCTACCTGGGCGTTGTGCGTGGGCTGGGAATGGGAAAACTCGGGCAGAGCAGAGACACAGAGGGGGCGCCTGCTAGAGACTGCGTGAGGAGCCCACTAGGAGAACCGTGGGATGCCGGGCAAGTCTGCACTGCTGCGCTCTGAAGTCAGCCACAGACACATGGGTTTCCAAGCGAAGCTCCCTCCCCATGTGATGGAGGTCACAGTCGCCCTCCCTGTCATGCCTCCTTTCACCCTCCCAGCTGGGTCAGGTCCCCAGTCAGAGGCAGAGGTGAGCACAGTCTTGGGAAGCAACCTGCGGTCCACCCCCACCGCTCAGCCCCGCCTTTACAGCTGCGTGCGCTTCAGCCCTGGGAGGGCTGATTCTCACAGAGCTCGAGCTCCTTGGTGGTCCTGGGACTCAGCTCTCCTGGGTGCCGGTCAGGACCCCCATCGCAGTCCCGTGTGCATTTGGGAACCAAGTCCTTGGGGCTTGAGTGTAAATGGTCCTTCTGTAAGAAAGCTGATTCTGGCACCAACAGAGAGGCTGCCTCAGATGAAGAGTGTTAGCACCCGAAGGGACCCCCAGGCCTGTCCTGACCCTCCCACCCCTGCTGTCGGCCCAACTTGTGTCCCTTTCCTGGAAGAACTGCTTCCGGCGGCCAGTGTGCTATGCTTCCTCCTGGCTCTGCCCTGCACCCCCAGAACAGCCCCTGGGCTTACGGGAGACACTAGTCTCTGGGCTTCTGCAGCCAATCAAGCTGCTGGGCCCTCCCTCCCAAGCACTGGAGGAGGTACTCGTTCTGTGGGCCGGGGCCCCTCCCTCCTGAGCACTGGAGGAGGCACTTGTTCTGTGGGCCACGGCCCCTCCCTCCCCAGCACTGGAGGAGGCACTGGTTGTGTGGGCCCTGGCTCCTCCATGTCTGAGGGAACTGCTCTGCTTCTCCTACAGTCCCTGAGATTCTGCAGCTCAGCGATGCCCTGCGGGACAACATCCTGCCTGAGCTTGGGGTGCGGTTTGAAGACCACGAAGGTGGGTGAGCCCTTGCTGTTTGCTACAAAGTTACCAGGAGCTTGGAGAGGTGTCACAAGGAGAGCTCCCGGGGCTGGGCTGAGGCTCATGCTTCATGATTGCTGATGCAGAATCCCAAAGTGGCAGCCCCATGGGTCCCCCGGCGCCATTCCCACGCTGGCCAGCCTGGCAGGGGCAGGGGAGCACCCCGTAGCTCCTTCCCACTGCTGCGTGTGGTGGCGTCACCTCCCCTGCGCATCATCTCCCCTAGGGGCCTGGCTGCCCGCTGCCCCTGTTGCTACCGCCTTTGAAGCTCTCAGCTGAGGAACCAGCCTGTATCCTGTACACTGTCAACAGATTGCATGCTTGTTCTCCCACTTCGTGGAGGTCTTTTTGTTCCACAGAAAGTTAATTTTTTTGTTTTTTATTTTCAATTTTTATTTATTTGTTTATTGAGACAGAGTTTCGCTCTGTCGCCCAGGCCGGAGTACAGTGGCGCGATCTCGGCTCATTGCAACCTCTGCCTCCCGGGTTCAAGCGATTCTCCTGCCTCAGCCTCCCGAGTAGCTGGGATTACAGACGCCCATCACCACGCTCGGCTAATTTTTGTATCTTTAGTAGAGACGGGGTTTCACTGTGTTGACCAGGCTAGTGTCGAACTCCTGACCTCAAGTAATCTGCCCACCTCGGCCTCCTAAAGTGGCATGAGCCACATGCCCAGCCTTAGTTTCAGTTTTTATGGATACATAATAGTTGTACATATTTATGGGCTATGTGTGATATTTGGATACATGCGTATGAGGTACTATGATCAAATCTAGGTAACTGAGATGTCCATCACCTCAAGCATTTATCATTTCTTTGTGTTACGAACCCTCCAATTCCACTCTTCCACTCTGCCCCTGGTAATTTTAAATCTCAGATGTCATGTCCTATTTTCCTACTCCTGGCTGGCAAGACCTTCCTACCTTCTCGTTACAAAATGTTCTCGCCAGGTGTGGTGGCTCATACCTGTATCCTAGCACTTTGGGAGGCTGAGGTGGGTGGATTACCTGAGCTCAGGAGTTCGAGACCAGCCTAGGCAACATGGTGAAACCCCGTCTCCACTAAAATACAAAACATTAGCTGGGTGTGGGCTCCTTGGGCAGCTGAGACACGAGAATTGCTTGAACCCGATAGGCAAAGGTTGCAGTGAGCTGAGATCGTGCCACTGCACTCCAGCCTGGATGACAGAGCAAGACTCTGTCTCAAAAAAAAAAAAAAAAAATCACACACACACAAACCAAAATGTTCTCCTGTGCTTCACTGCTGCTATGGAGGTTTTTGTTTGTTTTTCTCCTGTGGGCCCTCGCTCTGACTGGGCAGCACCGCATGGTCTGGGCAGGGCAGGGCAGGGCAGGGCTGGCCCCGCAGTGGGGACGGCCCACAGAGCCCAGCCTCTTCTCACACGCAGTTTATTTTGCAGGACTGCCCACAGTGGTGAAACTGGTAGACAGAAACACCTTATTAAAAGAGAGAGAAGAAAAGAGACGGGTGAGTAAAGTGAAAATGACTTAAGTGTGATATTTGTTGAAAATGTAAAAACCATTGCGATTATTACATAGTTTACTTTTTAAGCATTGATGTTTACACTTTTATTAAAATCCCAGTATTTATAAATGTCAGAAAGAAAAATTAACTAGTATCTTCTAATGAAGGACCTCTTTTAAAAAGATTATTCCCTCAGTTTAAGTGAAAACCAGTCACTTTTGGCAAACTGTGAAGCTGACTTTTTTTTTTTTTTTTTTTTTGAGACGGAGTCTCACTCTGTTGCTCAGACTGGAGTGCAGTGGCACGATCTTGGCTCACTGCAACCTCCACTTCCCTGGTTCAAGGGATTCTCCTGCCTCAGCCTCCCAAGTAGCTGGGACTACAGGCACGCACCACTGTGCCCAGCTAATTTTTGTATTTTTTTAGTAGAGATGGGGTTTCACCATGTTGGTCAGGCTGGTCTCAATCTCCTGACCTCGTGATCCACCCACCTTGGCCTCCCAAAGTGCTGGGATTACAGGCTTGAGCCACCACGCCTGGCCCGAAGCTGACATGTTAAGATCCCAGTCCCACCGTGCCCTCACCTGGGTGGCGCGTGTCACTGATGCATCTCCACCTCCTATTCCCAGCATACTCCCCACCTGCACCCCACAACGCCCCCAGGATCAGGGATGGCCCAAGTTCCTCGGTGCCCAATAGGACAGAAGAACAGGAACAAAAACGCAATGTCAGAATCTCTGGGCACAGCGCATGGGGTACCCTGGGATGCAGGCAGCAGGATGAGAGGCACCTGGGCCCCCAGTGCACACCATGGGAGGTGGGCCATGGGGGCTGTTGCCACCAGCAGGTGGGTCCCCAAGAGGCTTAAAGCAGGAGACCACCGTGGAGGGCGAGTTTGGATGCCACAGCTCTCAGGAAGGAGGCTCTGGGAGGAACTGAGGAAGGAGAATCGACAGGGTGGTTGATTGATAGATGGGATGTACAAGGTCAGGGAAGGCATCTATGCCTAGCCCTGCACTGGCCCAAGGCACGAGGGGAGAGCTCATGCCAGATCCAAGTGTGGGTGGCTGGAGTTTGCAGTGCTTTGGAGGAATAACGAACTGGAACTCTGGGGAAAGCTCTAGACAGTGGTGAGTGGTCTGCAGGTCCATCCTGGTTGGCAGGTTGGGAAGAGCTGGGCTTGCCCTGTGAGGTTGGCTGGTGTGACTGCCTCATCAGGGCCCCTCCCCATTCCATCACAGTCACTCACCTAGCCTTGGGTCTCGCCTGCCGTGCTGTGCTGTGAGGTGGCCTGGTGCTGGCTGTGCAGACGCCCTGGCTTGCTGCACTCCCTGGCAGAGTGCTCAGAAGCAGGAAACAGACAAGAGGAGCGCCAGGGTGGCCCGGCCAGAGCCTCACAGGCCTTGCACTCTTTGTGCTGGCCTTTCCACTGGCCACCTTGGCTGTGGCCTGTGACTTCTAGTAGCTCCTGTTTCCCAACCAAGGGACTCTTACCTCACCAAGCTGCTGCAAGAAGGCATCCCCAGGCCCGAGGCACCATGGGGGAGGGGTCCTGCCTCTCCCTGTACCATTCCCACCAGCACATAAACACATACTAACTTTTAAAGGGAAAAAGCAGAAATCCTGAGCACTGTGTCTCTGGTTCCTCCAAGCTCAGTGCCCAGCTCCTCCCCCACCTCAGCCCCTTTCCCTCGGCCAGCCCTGCTCTCCCTCCATCTATCTCGAAAGAGCTCGATCCTGTTGGCCCCAGCCCCATCCTGAGTCTCTGAGACCTTTGTGCCTTCCTGGTTTCTTTTCCCTAGCTCTGTGTGTGGCGCCTCCCCAGGAGACCTTATCTGGTCCTGCGGCTTCTCCACCATCTATCTTGTACCCGGTGGCCCAAAAACAGTTTGCCCAGCTGCCTACCTGATAGCTCCACTGGGCCAGGAAGCCTCTGATATCTAGGCTGTCCAAAGTAAATGTGATTTTCAACTCCCCAAACTTGTTCCTCCTTCCTGCCATGGAGGGCGTGCCTACCTGATAGCTCCACTGGGCTGGGAAGCATCTGAAACCTAGGCTGTCCAAAGGAAAGGTGAAAATGTGATTTTCAACTCCCCAAACTTGCTCCTTTTCCGTCAGTGGAGGGCATGTCTGTTTGTGCAATGGCTCAGGCCAGAACCTCAAAGCAACCGAGGGCTTCCCTCACCGGCACCCAGCCTGCTGGCTCCACTAATAAGCTCTCCCTGCAGCATCAGACTGTCCTCGCCCCTGCCCGGGTGCTGCCTGCTGGTTGGAGTGGGCTCTGGTCTCCTCACCTAGCCCCCAAGGCTGCCCTCCGCCCACCATCCCCATCCTGCCCTGGCGCTCTTGCTCCTTCCCAGGTACCCCAAGACCCACTCAGGATAACCCTCACAGTGCTGTCCTGGTCATTGCCTTACAGATCCTCTCTCCTTGGGCCAGGCTCACCATGCTGGTCCCTTTCTTCATGTTAGTGGTGCCTGGATCTTTTAGCATTGGTTCTGTTTGTCTGCCTGCTGCATACCTTTGCATCTAGGGCAGGGCCAGGCACCCAGGGGTGCCGCTGAGGATCCCCAAAGGGAATGGAAGAGGGTCGGTGTGCTGCCCGGCACATGGGCTTGTCTCCCCACAGTGGGGAGGGCCTGGTCAGAGTTCAGCCCTCCATGCCAGGCCCTAGGAGAGGGGCTTGTTTGGCTAGACCTCTCACTCCGAGAGACCCAGCAGCCTGAGGCAGCCCTGTCTCATCTGGCTCTGTATTGACCCTCCAGGTTGAAGAGGAGAAGAGGAAGAAGAAAGAGGAGGCGGCCCGGAGGAAACAGGAACAAGAAGTAATGCATTTTGTTTGGGGGTGAGGGCTCTACTGGGCAGGAGTGCACCCTGACCCCATGCCCTGTGGCTCTCTGTGCCTCCGTGGACCTTAGCCAGGCCCCTGCAGACCCTCACAGAAGGAGCTCCGCTTTCTGCCTCCACCACCCAAGGCCTGCCAGGCCCTTCTCACATGGGGTGCAGGGAAGGCCTGGCCAAGGGGAAGGCTGTGCCATGTGGTCACAAGCTCCAAGACAGCGTTTATAGACTTACTACTATTAGGTTTTCTAGTAAGCTTTCCACTATTCCTGTAGAAATAACATCTGGTTTAATTTTAAATTCCTTGTATGTTCCCTCCACCTTGGCTTTCCCCTTCCCATCTTTCATAGCACTCTGAATCTGAGGGCTTGGAAGCAAGTTGAGGGCTGGAGGTATGAGCAGATGTCGTTCACAGTGCGGAGCCCCAGGTGCTGCTCGGGGGCAGTGACTGTGCCGTGTTGCGTGTTCTAGGCAGCAAAGCTGGCCAAGATGAAGATTCCCCCCAGTGAGATGTTCTTGTCAGAAACCGACAAATACTCCAAGTTTGATGAAAATGTAAGCATGTAAGCATCCTTCTCTTCTATTCAGAACTTGATCAGACCACATTAAAGTGGGAGGACAGGAATTTTCAACCTTGGACAAGCAGATTTTCTGTCTGTAGAAAATTTGGAATCAAATCTGACACCCGCTTTAGGTCCAGGGCCTCCTGGCCCAACTACTGAGCTCCTTCCACAGCCCAGGCAGCTAGGCAAGCCCGTGCCAGGGCCCCCTCCACTGGTGTGGTGAGCTCTGGTCCCTAGCCCTGGGAGTTGTGGCCCCGGGCCAAGATCCACCCAGGCCCTCACAAGCTGGCTGAAGTGCCGTGGCGCAGATAGGCCTCCTACCCCCAGTTTCTTCCTTTGTCATAGCGATTCACAGCCACTGCCTCCAAACCTCTAGGCCCCTCCCTGCTGGCATTTGGATGTGTTTGCTATGTACCTTTGGGCCAGCTGTGTCAGAACTCAGCCATGGGTAGGCTCTGAGGGGCACAGTGCCCCTCACCTTAGGCAGGAAGCACCCCCAGACTCTGGTCGCCCCTCTCCCATTCTTAGCTGCTGGAGCCAGCACTGCCAGATGAGTGTGCTGGCTCCAGAGCAGTGTGGTGACTGAATGTCCAAGCAAGAGGACATGGCTGCATCAGGGAGATAGACACTTTGAGACGGGAGGGCAAAGAAAGGGGAGTTGGGGTTACCCAGGTGCAGAGGAGACCAATAGCCGCTGTGCTCTGGGTTTTCAGGGTCTGCCCACACATGACATGGAGGGCAAAGAGCTCAGCAAAGGGCAAGCCAAGAAGCTGAAGAAGCTCTTCGAGGCTCAGGAGAAGCTCTACAAGGAATATCTGCAGATGGCCCAGAATGGAAGCTTCCAGTGAGGGGGCACAGGACTGACTTTTTAAACCATTGTGGACTAGTGGCTGCTGTCTGCCTCAGTGACAATGTCCCAGCGCTCCTATCATGTTTACAGTCACCCTTGGGTCCTAAATTAAGAGTTGTGTTCATGTAGGTTCGTGTCGTCGTTGGCTCTGAGACATTGATAATAAATTTTTCTCAACAGTGAGACCCTCTCTGTCTTGTTCTGCATGTTCAGCACTTGGCAGGAGGCCTGGTGGCCAGCCAGGGCCGCTTGGTCAGCAGGTCACAACTTAGGTGCTTGGGTCAGTTGAGCTGCTTCAGCTGGCCGAGGAATTTCTCCCCCATGCTGATGGCTATCGGCTAATCTCTGGTGTGTGGGCACATTGGGAGGTATTTGAGTAGGAAAAAGACAGGCTCAGACTGGCAGAGCCTGCTGAGCCCTAGACAAAGGCCGCTCAGTCTGCCCTCGGGTTCTGATGAATAAACACACTGCAGGTTTTCCTAGAGCCGTTCCATACTGGGCAGCAGCACAGCGAGTGGCTCAGCAGGCAGGCCCCTGGCGAGCTGCCCAGAACTGCCGCTGGAGACAGCAAGTCCAGGATCTGCATGGCTAATGAGTGAGTTGTGGGGGTGGTCTCAACACAGCAGGGGCCTTCTTGTCCCCAGTGCCCAGTGTTGTCCTTGCCACCCTGCCTCCACACCTGGTTCACCTGGACTAAGAATCACCACCCAGACGCGAAGGTGCTTACCCATCCTTGGCTGAGGAGGGCGTAAGCAGAAACCACAGCCTGCTTCATGCCTGCGGAAGCTGGTGCCAGGCCATATCCATCGGGACAAAAGACAGTCATTGGTGCTGTGGACATCCAGGGGGGGACACTCCATCCAGTGCATGTGGATGGTGGCAGCAGCCTCAGCATGGGGAGTGTGGCAGTGTTGGGTTGTGGGTGCGCCAATTCTTTGTCCTTGCCCTCTGCATGCGCATGCTGTTTACTGCAGTAGTGTGTGACACAGCAAAAGGCTGGAACCAGCCTGTCTGTGCATCAGCAGGGTGCTTGGCACAGCTTGAGAGCACCCACCCAATTATGCAGGGAGCACTAAGGTTATAAATCAATGAGGACAGTCTCTGGGTATTGATAGGCCTGACTTTGAACCTTGTCAGTATTTTATATATAAAAAAATTTAAACCAGCAAGAAAGAAAAGTCCCCCAAACAAAGTAAAACAAACATGTTCCAGTTATCTGTTGCCACTTAACAAATCACCCCAAAACTTCATGGCTGAAAACAACAATGATCATGTTAATAACTCATGGCTCTGGATTGACTGGGCTCAGTTGATTGGTTTTCAGTTGCAGGCAGATGGGGTCATCTCTAAGTTTGTGCCTGGGTCCCACACTAGGGCTGCTTGGGCACCTTTTACCTCTGTGAGACCTGTGTGTGATCTCTCCAGCTTGGCGGCTTCACGGTGGCTGATTTCTGTTGCAACAGCCTATAGCTCCAAAGGTGCGAGTCCTGAGAGAGAGAGAGACAGGAGCTATATGGCCTTTTAGGATCTAACCTCGGAGGTCATGTCCTGACTTCCACTGTCCTCCCTAGCGGAGGCCGTCACAAGGCCCACCCACGTTCATGCGGAGGGGGAGGCATAGACACTACCCTGTGGTGGGCATTACTGGGTTCCAGAAGGGATGGGAAATACTACTGCAGCTATTTCAGAAAGTACCATCTGGCACAAAAACATAAATCAAATTGGCAACCTCAAGAAAAGAACTTCAACTTTCTGAGAATTAGCCATTTTTTGCTACACATCTTTAATGGGGTATCTTCTAAGGTCAAAGAAAGTACAGAAAAGTCAATTCAATAGTTTTGTTGTTAGTAATAACATTGGCATTATAATTTTCAAACCCTGTATGCCAACACAAATAAGATCACTGACACCCAGGCTGGAGTGCAGGGAAGCAATCTTAGCTCACTGCAACCTCCGCCTCCCGGGTTCAAGCTATTCTTCTGCCTCAGCCTCCCAAGTAGTTGGGATCACAGACACGCGCCACCATGCCCAGCTAATTTTTGTATTTTTAGTAGAGATGGGGTTTCACCATATTGGCCAGGCTGGTCTTGAACTCCTGACCTCAAGTGATCCGCCCGCCTCAGCCTCCCAAAGTGCTGGGATTACAGGTGTGAGCCACTGCGCCCAGCCTAGCAATCAAGTTTTTAATGTAAGACGATAAAATATCAAAGAAGTCAAGGAAAATCACTTTACTATTAAATACGAATTAGAAAAAACAATATGAAGTAACTTGTGATTTTAAAAAGTAGATTGTTTCCTGACTGTGTAGATGGGAAGGGTGGAGAAGCAAGGCAGCCCTGGTGGCACTGAGCAGCCCCAGCCCCGATCTGGGGCTCTAAACCCCATCCCACCCCCTGGAGAAATGGCCAGTTCCAGGTCTGCAGCAGCAGGAGTAGCTGAGCCCAGGCACTCTTGTGCCCCAAAAGGGGAGCTTTCGAACACCAAGAAGTCAGGTCAGGAGGACACTGGACAAGGTAGTGACACATAGCAGCTGGGTGGTATGTGTCAGGGGCATTCTGCTGGGTTTGGAAAAGCCACCCCTGAAAGGTTGCATGCCATGTGATTCCACGTAGATAACATTCTCAAGTAGGAATAGAGAACAGATGGTGGTAGCTGGGGTTAAAGATGGTGGGGGGGGGGGGCAGGTGGAGGGGAGTGACTGCACAGGGACAGTAGGAGGTGGGGTTGGTGGGGAGGGCACTTCTGTGTTCTTGTTTCCATGGTGATCACACAAATCTGCATATGTGATAGCACAACGTAGAGTCACACACATTGTACCAATGTCAGTCTCCTGTGTTGATCTTGAACTCTGGCCAGGCAAGGTGTGACCATCAGGAAACAAACTGTGCAGTTTTCTGGAAACCTATAATTACTTTAAGGCTTCAGGAGCTCCTACTGGCTAAGTTTGGGACAATTTGAGCATTGAAAAGAATGATTCCAGCCAGGGCAACATAGCGAGACCCTGTCTCTACTAAAAGTCAAAAAAATTAGCCGGTGTAGTGGCGCACTTGTGATCCCAGCTACTCAGGAGGCTGAGGTTGAAGGATTGCCTGAGCATGGGAGGTGGAGGCTGCAAGTGAGCTGCAATCATACCACTGCACTCCAGTCTGGATGGCAGAGCAAGACTCTGTCTCAAAACAAAAAACAAAAACAAACAAACAAACAAAAAAAAACCCCAGGCATCTGTATTTATTCTCAAAACTAGAGAAAGCTAAAACATATTGTCGTTACTGGAGGTGGCCTGTGTCAGCTCCTTTCTGTAGAGTTACTCATTAGTGACAGAAGCAAGTATTTTACCTTGCATGGGAAGTATATTTCAGGGCCACCAAATGGCCCTAGCTGAAAGGGGAAAGTTGTTCTTTCCCCCAAAGATGCCAGCTAAGGGAAGAAGCACCAGGATCAGACATCTCCATTCTGCAACCCCGAATGAAGTCATTGATTCAGGCAGGGGCTGACCGCGGATGCTGAGACCCCTGGATGAAAGCTGGTAGGTGCTGGATAATTTGATGCCAAAGTGTCACCTTGTGAGTAACTTGTAGGTTTCCAGGAGGGGATACGTGTTACTTTCTGATGTTGGGCCCTGGCTGTCAGCCCCCCAACAAAAAGAAGGATTTCCTCTAAAAGTATAAGTCAGTATTGAATGCAGCTTTTAGGCTAGGGCTCCTTAACCTTGAATGTGCGTATAAACTGCCCAGGGTTGCTTGTTAACACAAATTTCAGTTCAGGTCTAGGAGGAGCCCAAGATTCTGCATTCCTGCAGTCTCCCAGCTGTGGCCTGTGCTGCCGGGCTACAGCCCCCTCAGGAGCAAGGCTGTCCAGCTCACTTCCTGTCTGCAGGAAATACTGGGAACAGAGGGAGAATGCAGGTGAGGCCATGAAGCAGCCACCACATTTGTGCAGAAGGTGGGGCATTCTGCCAGATGCCCGGCTGGCATCTTCAATACGTCTGCGTCAAAGGGAGCAGAATAGGGCAGAAGAGAAGGACTGGGAGAGACTCGAGAAACAAAACCACCAGGTTTGAGGGATAATCTTTGAAGGATTTGAACAAACCTGCTGTAAAGACATTTCAAAGGGGGTCGGGCACAGTGGCTCATGCCTGTAATCCCAGCACTTTGGGAGGCTGAGGCAGGCGGATCACCTGAGGTGGAGAGTTCAAGACTAGCTTGACCAACATGGAGAAACCCTGTCTCTACTAAAAATACAAAAAAATTAGTTGGGCATGGTGGCACATGCCAGCTACTCCGGAGGCTGAGGCGGGAGAATCGCTCGAACCCGGGAGGTGGAGGTTGCGGTGAGCCGAGATCGCGCCATTGCACTCCAGCCTGGGCAACAAGAGCGAAACTCCGTCTCAAAAAAAAAAAAAAAAAAAAATTTCAAGAAATTTGAATGACCAGGTATTGGATGACAGTCAAGATTTTTGCTAATTTTGTTAGTGTGATAATGGCGGCTGCATGGAGAGGTGTCTTTAATGAGATACAAAGTAGCCTGAAACCTGTAACTCAGTATCCTTTAGCCAAGGAAACTGATGAAGTGCAGCCGGCACTGCAGCAGCAGCAATCCCTTCCACAGTGTATCCTCTTTACTGGCCTGTGCTGGAAACCATGTATCAAATATCCTGACAACTGGGCCATGAGGAAATACCCTTGTCTTTAGCTGCCACCACTGGGGTGAGCGGAGGTTGGCCCAAAGCCGCGGTGCCATCCAAGGAGGCAAGAAGGAGTGGCGTGTGCCCCATTTCCAGTGGTGGCTGCACAAAAACGTATCCAGATTGCCAGGGGCACGCCTGGTCCCCACAGCTGGTGAAGGCCTGGCTCCACCTGGACTGCAGTAGGGCCAGGCTGTGGCCCCTGTTTCACGCCCCCCAATTCAGAGTGATTCTGGGCCGCTTTTCTGCCTGGAGTTTCCCCGTTCTGAGGGCCCACTGCCTGGTGCGCCTTCTCTCTGCCCTTCCCTGACTTCCTCCAGTCTCCCCAGGCTGGGTCCGAGGGCCTGCAGTGACAATAGGCTGGCTGGGCCCAGGCCATTGGCTTGGCCCCCAAGAGGACCCCAGCACCTCCCTACCCTGCAATCTCTTGCTGTCAGGCTGCAGCAGATCCTTCTGGAACAACGTGGGGTGGACACTTTTCTTGTATAATATTAGTTTGCCTGTGGAAAGTGTTTCTTTTCTGTACATGAAAGCTCTGTTCAGCTGTAAGAGCCAGATTTACATCTTCCTGTTTTTCCCCAAAGAGCAATCTTTGGTGTCTTTACTATAAAAACGTCATGTATTCATTATTTAAAAATAAATAATACGGAAAACTTCCAATATAAAGTAGAAACTGAAAGACCCCGTGCCCTACCTCTCAAATCCCTACAACATTTGGGGTACAGTCTTCCAGATGCCTTCTTTCTGAGGCCGGGAAGCTTGCAAAGGCACTCCCTGTCTGCGCACCCCTCTTGTGTGGAGTACGCCATGGGTGTTTTCTGTTCTCCATATACCAGGAGAAACCAGCCACCTCTCTTGGATGTCTCCAGGGCCCCACTTTGTTAATGCCCCACAGGCTGAGCCCCCAGCCTACTGAGGGGGCTTTGGGCATTTCTGAGGCCTCGGCTCCAGCTCTTGGCGGCTGCGAGGTCTTTTGAGGAGTAGCGCCCCCACCACAGGTGAAGGGCATGGCCGCCCCCTCCAGGGCCAGAGCCACTTAGCTGGGGGCGTTAGAGGGGTTTCTCTGTTTTCTCCTCTGTTGAATGGGGCAGTGATTGCTGCCTCTACTTCCAGGCCAAGGTGTAGCCATTGTCAGTAGCGCCCAGGTAAGGGCACAGCTCGCCAAGTGCCAGGCACTTTTCCGGGTGCTGGCAATGTGAAGAAGAAACACGTGGTGTCTGTCCGGGACTGTCTCCCGGAGCCTCAGTGAGGACAAGGCAGCCAAGAGCAGAACTACAGGCAAGGTAGCCTCTGGAGGGGACTCCTGATCTCCAGGTTGGAGGAGGCTGAGGCAGCAGAGGGGTTGTAGACAGGTGGGCTCATGCCTGAGGCCTGGCAGAGGCAGCGCTGGGAAAACAGGAATGAAACTCACCAAGCGCCAGCTACCCTGGGAGTCCTGATCCCAGTGGCCCTCAGCTCTGGCTGCATGTCAGTGTCATCTGGGGACTTCTTTGTTTTGACACAGGGTCTTGGTCTTGCTCTGTCACCCAGGCTGGAGTGCAGTGGCATGATCACAGCTCACTGCAGCCTCTAAATCCCAGGCACAAGTGATCCTCCCACCTCAGCCTCTCAAGCAGCTGGGACTATAGATGCACCACCATGCCTAGCTAATTTTTAGATATTTGGTAGAGATGGGATCTCATCATGTTGCCCAGGCTGGTCTCGAACTCTTGGGCTCAAGCAATCTGCCCACTCGACCTCATTACCTAATTGCATCTGTGAAGACTCTATTTCCAAATGAGAATCTTCCAAGGAGAGAAACCACCAACCACCAAGAGAAAAACACCACCACCACAATCATTCCAGTTCCAGCAGATCTCCCAGGGAGCAGGTCCAGCTGCCCCCAGCCCCAAGGCCCAGCTCCCTCAGAGGATCCACCCACCCGGATGCCACCCCCACCAACCCCAACATCCAGGAGCAGGGGGATCCCATTACTGCAAATGGTCTTGAGACTTTATTAGATGGGAGGAAGGACCCTCCAAACTTCAAATGCCCAGGTTCTTGTGTCATTTCTATCATTGTTTATGCTTCCGCAAAGCATAAAGCATGACCTTTGTAGAAAAGTCTGAAAGTCTAAATAAGTAAAATAGGAATTGAGAGCACACACACCCTCTCCTAAAACACAGATGGCCAGACAGGACTGAGCACGCTGTGTGGGTCAGGCCTCAGCCATGCACCGGTCACCTCTGAGGGGTTTTTATGTTTTTTGTTTTAATTAGTTTTTTTTTTTTTTTTTTTTTTTGAGATGGAGTCTCGCTCTGTCGCCCAGGCTGGAGTGCAGTGGTGCGATCTCGGCTCACACTGTAAGCTCCGCCTCCCGGGTTCACGCCATTCTCCTGCCTCAGCCTCCCGAGTAGCTGGGACTAGGGCGTCCGCCACAATGCACGGCTAATTTTTTTGTATTTTTAGTAGAGACGGGGTTTCACCGTGTTAGCCAGGATGGTCTCGATCTCCTGACATCGTGATCGGCCCACCTCGGCCTCCCAAAGTGCTGGGATTACAGGCTTGAGCCACCGCGCCCGGCCTTTTTTTTGTCTTTTTGAGACAATGTCCCCCTCTGGTTACCCAGGCTGGAGTGCAGTGGCCCAATCTCTGCTCACTGCAGCCTTGACCTCACGGGCTCAGGTAATTCTCCCACCTCAGCCTCCCAAGTAGCTGGTATTACGGGCCTGAGCCACCACGCCTGGGTAATTTTTTGTTGTTGTTGTTTTTGGAGCAGGGGAAGGGTGCTCTATGTTGCCCAGGCTGGACTTGTTGCCTCTGCCTCCCAGAGTGCTGGGTTTACAGGCCTGAGCCACGGCGCTCCGCATTAATTTCTTTTTAGAGATGAGGTTTCACTATGTTGCCCAGGCTGGACTTGAATTTCTGGGCTCAAGGAATCCTCCTGCCTCAGCCTCCCAGCTTGTTTATAACCGACGCTATGTTCTTAATCCCTCAACCAGGAGCCTTTAAATGGTTTCAAATTTTCCCCATTACAGGAATAACTTGCTAATAATAATAATAATTAGCAATTGTTTCAAAAGTAACGTCATCCCAAAAGAGAACGTTTCTGAAAAAAATGCACATTAGACTTGAAGACCCCCAATGGCACGGTTGAACATGGAAATGAACCAGCCTCAAAAGTCCCAGCGTAGGGGTTATTTTCCAATCAAATTGGATGCCTTTCTACAAAATGTGATGTGCACAGGCTGGGGCTGGTACCTTCACCCCAGCCCAGAGGGCACCATGAGAGGGAGAACAGGGCGGGCGAAACAGGCCAGCTCCTCCCCAGCCCTCTGCCCTGCTCTGCTTCAGGGGGCTGATCTGAGGGCCCAGTGCGCACTGCTTTTCCTCCTTGTCCGACAGGGTCTCCCGCAGGCCAGAACTAGGCTGCTGGGACACTGCGGGGCTCAGGGCGTGGGGGAAGAGATGCAGGCAGTGGCTAGTCCCGTCCTGTCCGCGGAGGTGACCCAGCCCCGACCTCTTCGCAGAGGAAGTGTTCTCCAACCTGGGACCTGGGGGATGAGCGGGGGTTAGGCTTACGTCCCAACCACTAACGGGGCTGGTTGAAAACGGCTCCCAGGCGGAGGGGCCCTCCGCGATGTTCTCAAGGAGTAGCGCGAGGGGACGACATAGGAGGTGGGGTTCTCACATCAGCGGGCGCACGGAGTGCTGGAGGCACCGACCCGCCGCGGACGGGATTGAACTAGGGAACTGGGAGGGCGCAGGAGATAAAGACGGCTGGGGCCGGGGCCCACGGAGAGGGGTGGTGCCCAGTGTCCCGCGAGGGATGTGGTGCCACCCGGGGAAGGTCCCGGGAGCGGGGACCCGGGACCCCCCGGAACCACACACGCGGTCTCCACCTTGCCCCGCCCCATTTAAAGAGGCGGAGGAACGCAGGGCGCGCGCCGCGCGGAGGAATATTTGCATATGGCGCGGCGTTTCTTCGGAGGCTTGTGATTGGTTGCTGACTGCGGCGCGAAGCGCAGTTGACTTGCGCCGCGCTCGGCGAATCGCAGCCTGTCTTGCTCGCGGAGAGAGGAGCTAGGAGCCTCGGCCAATGGGAGCCGGCGTTGTTGGAGGCCACGGCGGCGCAGCCCCAAAGCGAGCGAAGCTAGGGTCGCCGCCACTGCCGCAGGAGGCGTGAGGTGCGGAGACACGGGTGCTGGGCCGGTAACGGCGCGCTGGGGAGGGCGGCCGGGCCCGGACGGGCGGGTGGGGCCGCGGGTCCGGCGCGGGCGCGGCGGCGGCCATCTCTGGAAGCCTCGGGGCGGTGGGGCAGGGGCGGGGCCGCGTTCTGGTCGGGGCAGGCAGCGGCGGCCGCGGCGGGGCCTGGGGCTTGGGCCCTGGAGCCCGGGCCTGGGGCGCTGGCGGGAGGCCCCTCCCAACTCCCGGCGCGCCTCGCCCGGCTGCCCGCCTCACTGAAGGTCAAGGCGCTTTGTTCTGCGCCGCGGGCGGCCTCCTGGGCGGCGGCCCCTTGGAGGAGGCGAAGACGGCGAGAGGCGGCGGCCGCTCAAATCTCCCGCTAGCCCAGCCCGCCCCGCGTGCGGGGGCTGTGGCGGTTACACGGCCGGGCGCGCCGGAGCGTTCAGGCTTCCCGTTTTTAAGGTGGAGACGTCCAGGACTTCTTTATTAGATGTTTAGGAATTTGAGTTTTTCCGTAGGGCGGTTGTCATCGTGAGCCTCTGTGGGGTCAGGCTGGGCTAACTGGGGTTTTGATGTCAGTTTGGTGTGGCCGAGGGCATGTCTGACGGGGAAGAAAGTCCTTGGCGTTGCTTCTTAGCTGTTGGGAGCTGTGCGGTGGGAGCGAGCTGGGCGGCGTGCGCTCCCCGAGGACTGGCCTGAGTGGCCTTAGACTAGTTACTCACGGGACTTGGTTTCCCAGCCAAGGTGGGCAGCAAGTCTGTTTACTATTTAAAACCGTCTTTCACAAGGGAAAAGCAAAATCTCCAAAAAAAAAAATTGTACATGTTATGGATGGGAAAGTGCCATGCTTTTCTTTCAGTTCAGAGATGGTGGAAGAGGTCACATTTGTATTTTTTGACCTGACCAGAGTCTTTGTTGTTTTCAATTTTCCCCTTCTGAATGCTTTCCGTTCACCCCAGCGAAGGATGGCCTGGTCATGATAAGACTTTCCACCGTCCACAGTTCTCTAAGTCTGATTGCGGGGCAGGAGGCAGACATGTTTAGGGTCCAGTAAAGGGGACTCCAGCCTTGGGACCTTTAGACCCTAACGTGTGTGTCACATCACCTGCCTGGGTGACTGTGCGCTCCTCTGGCAGGAAGGTCCGCCATTTCATTATGTTCTCGGAGGAATCGTCGGGGCACATTCGTCTGTGCTTTGGTTCGCATCCCCCAGTCTGCATTACTTTTTCCTGTAGTAACCCGTGCCTTATCCTCCTGCATTAGGTTTACGGGGTGAAAATAGACTTTTAAAAATTCTCTTACCTTAGAAATATACAAATATGTAGATTAGGTTGTTGGACCTTAAAGGTAAGTCTTTCTAAGTTACTACCTTCCTGTAATAGTAACTATACCTCTAAATGACTAATACCTGCACTGCGCACCAGGGACTCTTTCAGCCTGTTTGCGTGTGTTAACTCATTTCATAATCTAATAACCTGAGATAGATGCTATTGTTTTTCCATTTAACTACTCTGGAAGCTGAGGCCCTGGGAGGTTAGGTATAATGACTTGTCCGAGGTGACAAAGCTTAAAGACCCAGGCAGTTTTAACTGTACCCAGGGTTACTGCTTCTGTAGAGGGAATGAAAGAAGTTTTAATGAGAAATTGTTTTCATCATTGTGCTAAGCTTAACTGAACTCTAGCTTACGAGGTTTTGAGCTGGTTGATCATTTCCATCTCAAAATTCTCTTATTCCACAGAATGCCAAATGCCTCCTATAGTAGAATTTTGAGATTCAGACTGGGATGAGCAATTGCTAATGGAATAAATAATATGCAAATGTAAAATGAAGTTCAGAGAAAGCAACGTGGTGATAGAATGGGAAAGTAATCCAAAGATAAAATGAGTGACTACAGAGAGAGAGAAAATTAGTTATTTAGTAGTAGTTCACAAGTTTACTTAGAGATATTTTTACTAGAATTTCAGGGCCTTATGATGTGATTTTTATGAACCATTTTAACACGTTACTGCCGTCTTAAATAGCTGTTATTACATATCCAATTGCAGTCTTTTTTTTTTCCTGGTTGAGCAGTGTTAGCTTCAGAATGTCTGCAGTTATTTGTGCCTATATGTCATATAGGCACATATAACACTTTTGTGAATTTTGTTGTGTAAGCTTTAAATCCGGTACTGTTTTTCAAAATGAATATGGAGTAGTCATTGGAGAAATTGGTTGAATTCTTTGCAGTAGCAAATAAATTTTAATCATTTTTAAGTTTGATAACTTTGGTAAACTGAATTCTGAAAAGTTTACACATGTTTTAGGATGTCCTCAAAATGTACAGGGCATTGTGTTTTGCAAATTAGCCATTTAGCCATCAGATTCTTCTGTAGAATTTTGATCTTTTTGCCCATATGAGAGGTAGTTCTTATTTGTATGGAGGTTAAGTACCTGCGGATGGGATGTGTTCATCACCACTTTACAGTATGAATTTGAATTTGAAACTGAAATGAAAACTTCCTAACCTGTCAGAGTTTTTAGTAGCCTCTTGTTATTGACCGCATGTTAATTCCCTTTGTTAGCTATTCGCAGCTAAGTGTGGGGACTGAAATCTTTATTTTGTTTTCCTTCTTTTGAGCAGTTGATAGTCTCTAGCATCAGGAGGAGGTGACCTCAAATATGTATGTATATATAGTAGTGCTTTTCTTCCTTCCCTTTAGTTGTCTGCAGTTTAAAAATTATTGTGATAAGTTTATGTTGTACTTCCAAAAATGTTGCCAAAGAGCCTATATTTTTCAGTTTGTTTTGGAAGAAAAATACTTTGTGGGCAAGAAGGTGATTTAAATTCCTGACGGCCTAAGAGGCGTCAGCTGTGTGAAATAGGCGAGTGCTGTTACTGCTTGAAACCATGATGGTTTATATTTGAATAAGACAGCAGAGATGAGCTTGTTGGGAGTTTGGCCTGAGATTGCTAGCTAAGGAATGCTTGCTTTTTTGCTTAAAGGGAAAAGTGTTTTAGGCTTCCAGAGTAGAAATCTGATATTACTTCGTTTGATTCTTCGACCACTATGGTGATAGGAAGTAGCTGATCTCTGCAGGAAACTGCTGTTACCTGACCTCAGCTGAATTTTTGTGGGACCTCCTGAGGTAAGCAAATTTATGCCTCCCGAAACTATAGTTGTAAGGTTTGTCTTTGAGCATATAGTAATGGAAAACCCTTATCAGTAGGTAGATAGTAAATAATTTTGTATTTGGCTGCTAATGAAATTTTTAAGAAATAGTTTGTGGTGATATAAATTAGTTTTCATCTGGCAGTCATTGGTTTTCCACCCTGCCCTCTTAAGAGAGAACAGGGTTGCTTTACTTTGTTTGCCAGAGCTTTACATTTTGCATTTAGTAACAGAGGCATTGTGTTTTTATAGTATGAAAACAACGAAAGATCACTTTGTGATCTTTACTTTTTGATTTTGACCACTTCCTGTGTAACCTTAAGTTTCTTACAAGTATCCCCTGTTAACTGTTAAAAACGAAATGTATGTTCATTTCATGTCCTTGGGACTTTTAAAAATGCGCTGTGCATTATCCGGAAAAGCCTGTTCAAAAACAAGATGAGATAATTTCTGTTTAATTTGTGGTAGAAAGAATGACTGTGCACTTTTATGTGCAAAGGTTTTAAGTATAATAATTAAAATAGTACTTGTTTACTCAGTTACCGAAAAGTAGCTTTCAGTGATTTGCATCTGTTTACTTATTCATGAGCATCTTCTATGTACTGGGCACAGTTCTAGGTACTGGGGCCTCCCGCAGAATAAAACAGAAGTCTTTGTCCTTGTTTCTGCTATGGGAGACAGACGAACAAGTTCAACGGTGGCAGGTGCTTTTGAAAAACAGTGCAGAGGAGTAGGGACTTTGGTGGTTGCAATATGAAATAGGTAGAGAGGGAAGTGCCTTATTGACAAGATGACAAGATCTTTTAATATGTACTGGATTAAGAAGTTAGCCTCATTGAGTCGTATGCTAATGAACTGCCCAGAAAAGAAGGGTGGAGGAGATGGGAGTGCAGCAGTAAAGACTGCTGCGCCCCAAGTAAAATGTAGTGTTTTGGTTAAGGAAAGGAAATCATTTTTTGCTTTCTTCTTGAAACCCCAGGGCTTGGCACCGCAGAAGTCTCTGAAGAGACAGTCTGCTGCTGTTTGGAGGCAGGTATTTCAGTAGATCTTGTAACCAAACATGAATGACTAAGGCAGTGTTTCTCCTCTGTGTCTTCAGAAACTGCTTGAGATGTGTGCATGCAGTCCCGGGCACCATGCGTGCTGGGTACTGGTAACACAGAGACAAGTTGTCATTTGGTAGCAGTGAGTTAAGCAAAGATTTCTTGGCAACCAGTCTCATCCCGAGTCTGTTGCTGGGCCTTGGGACTTCTGTATTGAGCAAGTAGACAGGGTCCCTGCCCTCGTGGAACTTGTTCTTTAGTGGGCAAACATGTATTATTCATTGCTTTTTTTTTTTTTTTTTTTTGAGGTGGAGTCTCGCTCTGATGCCCAGGCTGGAGTGCAGTGGCGCGATCTCGGCTCACTGCAGCCTCTGCCTCCCAGGTTCAAGCAATTCTCCTGTCTCAGCCTCCCAAGTAGCTGGGATTACAGGTGCTCACCACCACGCCTGGGTAATTTTTGTATCTTTTTAGTAGAGACGGGTTTCACCATATTGGTCAGGCTGGTCTCGAACTCCTGACCTCAGGTGGTCTGCCCACCTGGGCCTCTCAAAGTGCTGGGATTACAGGCGTGAGCCACCGTGCCCAGCCTATTCATTGCTTTTAAACATTATCATGGGCCTGGCATGGTGGCTCACGCCTGTAATCACAGCACTTTGGGGGAAGCTGAGGTGGGCAGATCACCTGAGGGTCAGGAGTTTGAGACCCTCTCCCGCCTTGGGTGACAGAGCGAGACTCCACCTCAAAAAACAACAACAACAACAAAAAACCCAGAACATTATCATGGAAAGTTTAACAACATGATTAACTTCTGATCCTGGAGAGTGGTAATGATAGACTGGATCAGGAGTCTACTGGCCTGGGCAATAGAAATGAAATCTGGACTGTCTTAGGGCTTCGTATAATCACCAGCTTTTGTGGGTGGGGATGTTGGGGTGTCCTACAGGGGTATCTTGATTCCTTCTGAGAACAGATCATTTCTTTGTCCTTTCTGATGTCCTAATCTAAAACATCCAGTACTCCTGGAGGATTTGAACTTGTGCCCAATGGCTGGTCAGACTCTCTTGGATTGAGAATGTTGGATTGCCATTCCTCAGACTGAATGTGGGCCAAGCAATTGTGCTTTAGAAATTTATCTTAGAGTCTGGGTGCGGTGGCTCATACCTGTAATCCCAGCACTTTGGGAGGTTGAGGCAGGTGGATCACCTGAGGTTGGGAGTTCGAGACCAAGTCTGGCCAACATGGTGAAACCCTGTCTCTACTAAAAATACAAAAAAAAAAAAAATTAGCTGGGCATGGTGGTGGGCACCTGTAACTCCAGCTACTTGGGAGGCTGAGGCAGGAGAAACTGGGAGGTGGAGGTTGCAGTGAGCCGAGATCGCGCCACTGCACGCCAGCCTGGGCAACAAGTGCGAAACTCTATCTCAAAAAAAAAAAAAAAAAATTTACTACCATCCCTAATTTTGTAGGATATATAGGATTTGTAAGGAAATTATAAGGAGTCTTGTGAAAACATTAATTACATTTGAATTAATTTTAATCCTTCAGTTATCTCCCATAAAGACATTGAGGACCTTTGAGTTTATTAAGACAGAGTAAATATATAAAAGTTTTGGGGAGTACGACTACACTCTCTAGCTTTGTCTCTCAAACATGGCCCAATTTTTTTTTCCTTTCTTTTTTTTTTTTTTGAGACAGGGTCTGGCTCTGTCGCCCAGACTGGAGTCTAGTGGGGCAATCTTGGCTCACTACAACCTCCGCCCCCCAGGTTCAAGCAGTTCTCCTGCCTCAGCCTCCTGAGTAGCTGGGACCCCAGGCGTGTGCCACCATGCCCAGCTGATTTTTGTATTTTTAATGGAGATGGAATTTCACCACGTTGGCCAGGCTGACCTCGAACTCCCGACCTCATGTGATCCGCCCGCCTTGGTCTCCCAAAGTGCTGGGATTACAGGCGTGAGCCACCGTGCCTGGCCATGGCCCAATTTTATAGTTACTCTAGCTATGGAGTAGATGTTTTCAGTTCAAAATTAGGAATTTAAGGTTATATTTTGTTACAAAAATCTTTAAAAATTTCATAAGAAAACAGTTGTTTGGGGTACAAAGAAATTAATCCATAAATAGGATTGTTACAGTGACTAATATAAATAAAAGAACATTTGTGTAATCATGGGAATTATTTTATTTTATTTTTCCTCGACCCAATTAACTGGGTGAAAATTTGCTTGCCAGTTCAGATTTAGAATTGTAGACACAGTTAAAGTTTTTGACCTTGGGAGGGAACCTGAACTTTAGAAAACTTACAACATTCTTTTGCCTGGTATCCCTTTCATAATTTAACTTGATTGTCTTTTATTTATTTTTAGTTATTATTTATTAACACAAAATTATATTTATGATGTATAATGCGATGTTTTGAAGTACTATACATTGTGGAATGGCTAAGTCAAGTTAATTCACATTAGGTGGTATACTGATTCTGACAAGAACACTTAACATCTACTCTCAGCAATTTTTCAATTATGTGATACATTGTTGTTAACTATAGTCACCAGGTTGTATAGATCCCTTGATTGCCTTTTAAAAGTGAGAGAACCTTCTGGATGAGTCTTCGGGCTGTGGTTTTATAAGACTAGTATTAAACTGAACATAACATTTAAAACAAACAGATATTTATTTTCCTCAAACCTGTATATTTGATAGTTCCTTATAACTTTCTGTTTTAAGGGTGATAGGGATTGATAAACAAAAATAATTTGTGGTGCTGAAACTTGACTGAACTCTAGCTTGTTTATAATACCACCTCTCTACATTGTCTTTCCTTATTCAGGTTGAGCACTCCTGATCCCAAAATCAAAAATCCAAATGCTCCAAATTCTGAAACTCCGTTAGTGTTGACATTAATGTTACAAGTGGAAAATTTCACACCTGACTTCACGTGATGGATCACAGTTAAAACTTTGTTTCATGCACAAAATTATTTAAAATATTGTATAAAATTACCTTCAGTCTATGTGAATAAGATGTGTGGGAAACGTGAATGAATTTCATGTTTAGATTTGGGTCCCATCCCCAAGATACCTGATCATGTTTATACAAATATTCTAAAATCTGAAACACTTCTGGTCCCAAGCATTTCAGATAAGAGATACTCAACCTGTATAAAGGGTGCAGTGTTTAAAGTAACTTGATTTGTTGGTTTCATATCAAGGAATAGATGTAGTCTATATGCATGGCAGTTACAAAAGTGAAAAGAGACCTGGCCTGTTATGTACTAGGAAATTTGTCTCCATTAACAGTTTCTCAGGTAGCCACTGTCTTCTAGTTTGTGGATGATGAAACTGAGGTCCAGAGGAAGGTTATGCAGAAGAGCATGAGTGGGAATGAGTATGGGGAAGTAGACAGGGCCTGAATTGGTAGGAATGTGTATTCTGCAGAAGGTGACGGGGGACCATTGAAGTGTGTTTGTTAGTTTTTTGTTTGTTTGTTTTTTGAGACAGAGTTTCGCTCTTGTTGCCCAGGCTGGAGTGCAATGGCGAGATCTCGGCTCACTGCAACTTCCGCCTCCTGGGTTCAAGAGATTCTCCTGCCTCAGCCTCCTGAGTAGCTGAGATTACAGGCATGTGCCACCATGCCCGGCTAATTTTGTATTCTTAGTAGAGACGGGTTTCTCCGTGTTGGTCAGGCTGGTCTCGAACTCCTGACCTCAGATGATCCGCTCGCCTCGGCCTCCCAAAGTACTGGGATTACAGGTGGGAGCCACCACACCTGGCCTTTGTTAAAGGGTTTTTAAATCTTCACTGACTAGGGCTGGGTTTGGGTTGCTGCTGTGGTCGTGGTGGTGAGCATAGCCAGCCATTGTAGGGTTTGTTGCCTTTTTTTTTTTTTTTTTTTTGAGGCAGGGTCTTGCTCTGTTGTCCAGGCTGGAGTTCAGTGGCGCAGTGATAGCTCACTGCAGCCGCCAGGCCTCCAACTCCTGGGCTTGAGTGTTGCTTCTGTCTCAGCCACTCAAGTAGCTGGGACCAGAGGCATCAACCACTGTGTCCAGCCTCATTTTTTTTTTTTTCTTTTTGTTTTGAGACAGTCTCACTCTGTCTCCCAGGCGGGAGTGCAGTGGTGTTATTTCAGCTTACTGCAACCTCTGCCTCCTGTGCTCAAGCGATTCTCCTGCCTCAGCCTCCTGAATTGGGACTACAGGTTCACACCACCATGCCTGGCTAATTTTGTTTTTTTTGTTGTTTTTGTAGAGACGAGGTTTCCCCATGTTGCCCAGGCTGGTCTGAAACTCCTGAGCTTCAGGTGATCTGTGATAGGGGTAGGATTTGAAACCAGGCTGTTCAGTGTGTGTCTGTCTTGTTCTAGGCATTGAGTTCTGGGTTGGTTGGTTCTTTAGTCAAAATTATTTTCTTTTTTATTGTGTAAATTCATTATTTTTTTTCTATCCTTGATTTAGCACTTTTTTTTTTTTCCAGAATACCGTGTTGGGTTTAACTTAACTGCCTTGTCATCTTGTTAACAAAAATTGTATTAAACAGCACATGCCGGGCTGGGCATGGTGCCTCTGTCCTATAATCCCAGCACTTTGAGAGGCTAAGGTGGGAGGATCACTTGAGGCTAGGAGTTTGAGACTGCAGTGAGCTATGATCCTGCCACTGCACTCTAGCCTGGGTAACAGAGTGAGACTGTGTGTCTCTTTAAAAAAGCACAGCCTTCACTTAAATGAAAATTGAGTGAATCATTTTATCAATGGACTCTGTTAAGTTGCAACAGGTACCATTCCATGGGAAGGTGAACCTCTTTGGCTCATGTCCTAACACAGGTGGTTTATGCTTTCAACAGATATTTATTATGCCAGGAACTGTTAGGGGCTCTGGGGCTGCATAGTGAACAGCATCAAAAGGGAGTATTGTCACACTCCATTTGTAGACAAAATGGATTTCTTGGAGATGCTGCTGAACAGTAGGATTTCAACCCTGACTAAGCTGTTGCTTGTCACTTGTTCCAATAGCAGCAACAGGTTTTTTGTTTTTTGTTTTTTTTTGAGATGGAGTCTTGCTGTGTTGCCCAGGCTGGAGTGCAGTGGTGCAATCTTTGCTCACTGCAAACTCCGCCTCCTGGGTTCAAGCAGTTCTCCTGCTTCAGCCTCCCAGTTGCTGGGATTACAGGCGAGTGCCACCATGCCCAGCTAATTTTTGTATTTTTAGTAGAGACGGGGTTTTACCATGTTGGCCAGGCTGGTCTTGAACTCCTCACGTCGTGATCTGCCCGCCTTGGCCTCCCAAAGTGCTGGGATTACAGGTGTTAGCCCCCAGGCCCAGCCTAGCAGCAACAGAATCTTTAATGAGCAAGTAGAAACAGCCAGAAGTGAAGTGGTGTTGGTACTAGGGAAAGGTTAGAAGGAGTCAGATTTGAAACACGAATGCATGTTTTACTAGCCGTGTGACTTTCAATTTGGCACCTCACCTTTCCAAGCCTCAGCTTCTTTTCGTGTAAACTGAGGATAGTCCCTCCCTAGTGGAGTTTCTCTTGGTATTAAATGTATGAAGTGCCTGACATGTAGGTCCCTTGCTAGTATAGGAGGTGCTGGAAATGAAGTATGTGTCTTTACGAGGTGTTACTGATAGGGTGATGACAACAAGAATCTGTCCATTAAACTGACAGTGTTAGATGTTTCCAGGTTAGTAGGCTTCTTTC
The DNA here is from genome assembly GCF_000001405.40 of Homo sapiens. Taxonomy (NCBI): domain Eukaryota; kingdom Metazoa; phylum Chordata; class Mammalia; order Primates; family Hominidae; genus Homo; species Homo sapiens. Next base: position 213,444 of record NT_187585.1, on the reverse strand, counting down.
AGCAATTAGTGTGTATGTGTGGGGTAAGGAAGGTGCTATGAGATACATTTCTTAGGCAATAGAGAGCTTCAATTAAGTAGCCAAATTACAGTTGATGTTATTGTGTAACTATTTTGGCAGTATGTATCAGAATCCATTCATGCTCTTTGACCCAGAAATGCTACTGTAGCGGTCCTGCTATTGCCATATCAATTAAGGATAACTGGGAGTGGGAAGCCATATAAGCCAAGATGTTCATAGAGACATTATCAAAGGTATATAACAGAAAAAAACACCTCATTCTTTAACAGCTGGTAAGTGGTGTTTTAGCTCTTAGAATGTTGTCCTTAAACAATTGTTATGAAGTCTGACTGTCTCACACCTTGCATTTAGAATATGTGAGAAGGGAACTAACCTCAGGAATACTGTGATTGCAGCAAACATGGTGGAGGAGCGTGAGTGGGAATGAGTGTGGGGAGGTAGACAGGGCCTGAATCAGTAGGAATGTGTATTCTGCAGAAGGTGACGGGGGACCATTGAAGGGTGTTTTGTTTGTTTTTGAGACGGAGTTTTGCTCTTGTTGCCCAGGCTGGAGTGCAGTGGCTTGATCTTGGCTCACGGCAACCTCTGCCTCCTGTATTCAAGCGATTCTCCTGCCTCAGCCTCCCGAGTAGCTGGGATTACAGGCATGTGCCACCACGCCCGGCTAATTTTGTATTTTTAGTAGAGACGGGTTTCTCCATGTTGGTCAGGCTGGTCTCGAACTCCCCACTTCAGGTGATCCGCCCACCTCAGCCTCCGAAAGTGCTGGGATTACAGGTGTGAGCTACCACACCTGGCCTCCGTTAAAGGGTTTTTAAATCTTCACTGACTAGGGCTGGGTTTGGGTTGCTGCTGTGGTCATGGTGGTGAGCATAGCCAGCCATTGTAGGGTTTATTGCCTTTTTTTTTTTTTTTTTTTTTTTTTTTTTTTTTTTGAGACAGGGTACTTGCTCTGTTGTCCAGGCTGGAGTTCAGTGGCGCAGTCATAGGTCACTGCAGCCGCCAGGCCTCCAACTCCTGGGCTCGAGTGTTGCTTCTGTCTCAGCCTCTCAAGTAGCTGCGACCAGAGGTATCAACCGCTGTGTCCAGCCTCATTTTTTTTTTTTTCTTTTTGTTTTGAGACAGTCTGACTGTGTCTTCCAGGCGGGAGTGCAGTGGTGTTATTTCAGCTTACTGCAACCTCTGCCTCCTGTGCTCGAGCGATTCTCCTGCCTCAGCCTCCTGAGTAGCTGGGACTACAGGTTCACACCACCACGCCTGGCTAATTTTGTTTGTTTGTTTGTTTTTGTAGAGACGAGGTTTCCCCATGTTGCCCAGGCTGGTCTGAAACTCCTGAGCTTCAACTAATCTGCCCACTTTGGCCTCCCAAAGTGCTGGGATTATAGGCATGAACCACTGTGCCTGCTGCATTTTTTTTTTCTTTTTGGTTTTCATCTTCTTCATTAAAACATAATTTATTTTTTTTGAAAAAGACAATGTGTAATATTTGTTGTATTTTGAATCTTAAAAATAGCACGTTTTATTTCTAAACAATAAAAATTTTAAAAAAGTAGTTGAGTTAAATACAGGACAGTCATAGATCATAATTAGAACTGTTTTTGTTAAATATAGAGGGGTTTTTTTGTTGTTGGTTTTACCCTAAAGCTATGTGATTCAGTGGTTTGGGCTTTGCTCAGGTACTGAAGAATGAACATTGGCCAGTTTTCAGCTGGAACAACCGTTTAGCGAGGCCCTCAGGTGTATTTCCCACATCTGAGTTTAAGGAACTTCGTAACCACACCTGTATTATTTTACATTTAAGGACCTTTTTAAGCTGTGCATTTAGCTGTTACTTTAAATGCATTTAGATTAGATTTTGAAATTGTATAGGCCAGGCGTGTTGACTCACACCTGTAATCCCAACACTTTGGTAGGCTGAGGTGGGAGGATCTCTTGAGGCCAGGAGTTTGGGACTCAGCCTGGGCAACTTAGCCAGACCCTATCTCTACAAAAAATAAAATTAGCTGGGCATGGTGGCCTGCGCCTGTTGTCCCAGCTACTCAGGAGGCTGAGATGGGAGGATTGCTTGAGCCCAGTAAGTTGAGGCTGCAGTGAGCCAGGATTGCATCACTACACTGCAGCCTTGGTGACTGAGATCCTGTCTCAAAAAAAATGATAACTTTTTTTTAGTTTTATTAATATCAAGTTCTTCTATTTAAGAAGTAAATGCCCTAGAACACACCCTTAATATTCAGTTACAATGTCATCTAATTCTACCAATATAGAAATAATCATCTTTAAAAGTGGAATAATACTGAGTATATTACACAAGGTTTTTACACAAGCAATACATCCTCAGTGTAGAAGTAATGGAAGATACGGAATAAACAAATGCAATTAGAAAATAATCCCATAAGTTAATTTGAAAGTGTAAACACCAGTAAATGCTTTGACTTACTCTAAAATGGTTGGGCTATCATTAATGTATGTTTGTGTTGCCGAATGTATTATAAAAAATAAGGCAAATTAGAATTAATGTTATTCTGAAGTCTGGTTATTTTAGTGCCAATAAGATAATTTTATTTTATTTTATTTTTTTTTTTAGATGGAGTTTCACTCTTGTTGCCCAGGCTGGAGTGCAGTGGCATGATCTCCGCTCGCTGCAACCTCCGCCTCCTGGGTTCAAGTGATTCTTCTGCCTCAGCCTCCTGAGTAGCGGGGATTACAGGCGTGCACCACCACGCTCAGCTAATTTTGTATTTTTAGTAGAGATGGGGTTTCACCATGTTGGTCAGGCCGGTCTCGAACTCCTGAGCTCAAGTGACCCACCCACCTCGGCCTCCCAAAGTGCTTGGATTACAGGCGTGAACCACCGCGCCAGGCCGAGAAATTTTTTTATGAGTAAAGTTTGTGTGTGATGAAATGCACAGATCTGAAGTGTATAGTTTAATAAGCTTTAACAAGTGTATATACTCAGGTAACCTCAGTCAAGATCTAGAACATTTTCATCACTCTAGAAAGTTCCCTCCTGTCCCTTCTAGTGGACTCCATCCCACAGATAACCGTTGTTTAAAAAGTATATTGAACAAACATTTTTGCTTATGAATATAATTATTACAACTCTTTTTAATTTATAGGGGATAAAAACATTCAGATGGCAGATCACAGGTAAGCCAAAGTGGACTTTGTTTATTGGAGTTTAAAATTCAGTTGGTGAGCAACAGCCAAGCCATTTTTCAATAAATAATTAGAATCAAAGTTAAATGCATTTCAGCGTCTAGCTGATGGCTCATTTCTTGTGTATGTATTTGAGCACGTAAAGAAATTACTTCCGACATGAACAGTGCCTCAGACATTGACACTACAGATCTTTTATGGAAAGCAATCGTTTTGCTCTCCATGCTTTAACACCCCTGGGGTGAAGTCAGGTAATTTTGACACTCTCCTAACAGTCTGTAGTTGTCAGTGATCAAGTGGAAGATTTTGTTTTGTGGATTGAGGGTTACTTTTAGTTGTGTATATTATTTGATGTTTATTTTTTGTGAGGGAGGTGTGTCCAGGCATCTTTAAAAACTGTTTCATGGCTCATTTTACACTTGTTGTGGCTAATTTTACAAAGCCACTTTGGGCACTGTCTTAACTTGGTAAGACTGCCTTGCTCTGATCACATGAGCAGCTGACCAAACAGTAACATGTTCGTTGGTTGATGGGTTTGGTTTGAGGGCTGGGAGCAGATTTTTTGAGGAAAGAAGCTGTAGAAATGAGAGCTAAGAAGCTTTGGCTAAGGTTGGAAATAAGAACTTTGTAGGGCTTTATGTTTGGGAGAGGAGAGGGGATGTTACGTAGTAGAATATTTTTATAGCAGAGAGGACAGCCTCTGAGATAACATGCACATTGGTAGTTTTCTTCTGCCCAAATCTGACGTCACTGTACAGATACCTCTTAATATATTGAATAAGAAACATGTCCATTTGTGCTATGTCTTTGGAACTTTCTTTACAGTAATACTTTTTAAACATACTGTTGTTTTAGTTTTTCAGATGGGGTTCCTTCAGATTCCGTGGAAGCTGCTAAAAATGCAAGTAACACAGGTCAGTACACTGCACATGGAGAGTTTGCATCCAGTATGGGGAACGTTCCTCTCTCTGGAAACATTTATTAATGCAAGTAAAGGATTCCTGTACTGCAGTGGTTTTAGGAAAGCTAGAGTAATTAAAATGAAAAATCAGTATCTCATTAACAAAAGATGTATTTATTATAGGAATTCAGACTCTACAGTAGTAAAGAGAGTAATAGTACAGTCTACCTTCTTGTAGCTACCATCAGTGAGCTTTAGTATTGATTAACAAATGACCAGTCTTTTTTCTTATTTTTGAGATGGAGCCTTGCTGTGTTACCCAGGCTGGTCTTGGACTCCTGGGCTCAAGCAGTTTCCTGCCGCAGCCTCCCAGGTAGTTGGGGCTACAGGCACAGACCACTGCTCCTGGCCATTTTTTTTTTTTTTTTTTTAAGTCTATACCCTTTACTTTCCTTCCTTTGGAAAGCAAATCCTAAGAATGTCATTTTGTTCATAAATTCACAGATGTGATATTTTTCCACCATTAAAAAAAACTATATCTGTACTCCCCACTCCCTCCAAACTGTTTGAAAGCAAGTGGTGGATATCTATTTTCCTAAAACAATTCTACAATGTCATTACCAAGAAACTTAACACTGGAGCAATACCATTCTCTAATAGACAGTCATGCTCCTGTTTCCCTGGTTTTCTCAGCAATTTTTACCCCACGCCCGAATCTAGCACCTATTCAAGGATCATGCGTTTTGTTTTGTTCTAGAGTCATCTCCCTACCTTTTGCATCTTTTATTAATACATCAACATATCAGCGCTCTGGGCCACTGTTGTCTTATAGAATGCTCACAGTCTGGATTTGCCCAGTCGTTTCTTCCTGATGAGATTCAGGGTAAACATTTTGGCAAGAAGGGCACACAGGTAACATGATGCAGTGGTCGTTGGTTCCGGAGGCACAGGGTGTTGGCTCGGCACCTGCCCAAGGACACTGAGATTGATGATTAAGACAGTGCCTGCCAGACTTCTCTGTTACCAAGGTCCTTTCACCTTGGAAGCAATCTGTCAGGCACGTGTAAATATCCTCTTCCTCTTCAGCAAACTTTCACACGGAGGTTTTAGCACCCATTCATATGTGTTTGTATATGCATGTAGTATTTATATACTACACATGTGTACACAGTTTTATATATACAAATTACGTACCTTAAATACACTTCATGTGCTTCATGTTAGTGGTTGTGTTTGCAGTTCTATTATGAATGTTTAAAATTGAGTGCCTGCTTGGTGTGTTTGACTTACCCACATCATGGGAGAATACTCGGGATGGGAGAATACTCGGGATGGGAGAATACTCGGGTATGTACTGGCTCTAAGCAAGGGAAGGGCGCTGGGTTTGGATTTCTGTATTGTGTCATTAAGAGGGAGATTGTTAAGAGTCTGTGTCATGAGCCAGATGTCTGCCACTTCATAGTCACAACTGGGTAAAAGGACAGTCACTACCTTGTCAGGATCTCATTCATTGGTTTATTGGGAAATGGGCTTATAAATACAAACAGCTTGGTATTGTGAGCTCACTACACATGTAGGTTAGCCCTAAGTGGGGTGGAATGGTCAGAAGTGCTTCCTGGAGGGAGGTGGGTTTGGGCAGAAGGACATTCAAGGCAGAGGCGAGTAGCACATGCAAAGAAAACTTAGGGAACAGTGCTGGCAGAGAGCTAGTGAGCCTTGGGCTCTCCTGGACTGTGAAGTCTATGGCACCACAGTGAGCAAGGGAGCTAGTGGATGCTCTTTTACTTTGAGGAACTGATCTCATCTCTGTTCGTGGCTTCTGGACACCACCATGGGACTTGGGGGTAGACCATGTGAACTTACATTAATGATGTCCTCAGTTGTTTAAGTCTGGTGCTTAAACAGCCACAGTCCTGGTGAGAGCCAGGACTCTCTAGGTGTTTATTCAGTAAATTTGTAACTACCCATCAGGTGATTAACCCAGAGTGTTAAATGCTCTTAAAATAAATTTTAATTATTTTCAAAACATGTTTAAGAAGTCACTGGTGTATGTATTTAGAAATTAGTAGATGTAAATCTAGGCAAAGCTAAGTAGATATGTTACTAATTTTTGACTCTTGGCTATTGTGTGTGGTGGGCATATTTTAAATATGTTTGGTCTTAACTCTTCATAGAAAAGCTCACAGATCAGGTGATGCAGAATCCTCGAGTTCTGGCAGCTTTACAGGAGCGACTTGACAATGTCCCTCACACCCCTTCCAGCTACATCGAAACGTAAGTGTGCTGTGAATAGGGTCTCATGCAATTTGGAGAAACAAAAGGAAAATAAAGGAAAAACCACTTTTCAGTTCCCCAGAACAGGATTAAATGTTTTTTTCGTTCCAAGACATTGTCTATGAGAGACAGGCACTGGGATATGAGAGGAGTGACCCTACCCGGTGCCTAGGCTGAGAGTTTGCCTGGTGGATGGAGTAGCGTGACCTGTCAGTTCTGATAGGAAGTGCACAGTGCCATCCTGTGGAGGGCTAGAGGACTTCACAGATCATCTGAGTTGGAGAGGACAGCTGGTGGCTCCTAAGTTAAACTAAGAGAACCACTCCTTCCTGACTTACCCACATGAGCCTGTGACACCAACACCTTAAAAAAAAAAAACTGGGCATAGTGCCGCATGCCTATGAGTTTTCACTACCGTCCAGCCTGGGTGACAGTGAGACTGTCTTTAAGAAAAAAAAAAAGATGGGGTCTCACTGTATTTCCTAGGCTGGTTTTGAACTCATGGCCTCAATTGGTTCTCCCGCCTCAGCCTCTCAAAATGCTGGGATAACGGGTGAGCTACCGCGCCTGGCTGACACCTTTGCTTTCTTAAGAGAGGCCTATGTGCTAGATGTATTGCACTATGAAAATGATAAGGGTGGTGATCCTAGAATCCTAGGATGGCTCTTGTCAGGACCTCTCTTACTTCTGGAAGGAATTTTTGGTTTTTGAGTTGGAGTCTCACTGTTGTTCAGGCTGGAGTGCAGTGGCATGTAATAGTTCATTGTAACCTTGAACTCCTGAGCTCAAGTAATCCTTCTACCTCAGCCTCCAGAGTAGTTGGAACTACAGGCATGCACCACCATGCATGGCAATTTTTTTTTTTTTTTTTTTAAAGGGATGAGCTGTTACTGGGCTTCCATCTATAATTGGGTCAGGGCTTGGTCTCCCAGGAGGCCCCACCTTCCAGCTGGTTTCCCCAGTCAGGACTGCCAGGGCTATTACGACAAGAAGGGGACATTTATTTTTTATTTTTATTTTTTGAGACAGACTCTTGCTCTGTCATCCAGGCTGGAGTGCAACTTCCGCCTCCCGGGTTCAAGTGATTCTCCTGCCTCAGCCTCCTGAGTAGCTGGAATTGCAGGTGCACGCCACCACTCCCGGCTAGTTTTTTGTAGTTTTATTTATTTCACTGTACGTTCTGGAGTAGATGTGCTGAGTGTTCAGGTTTGTTACATAGGTATACATGTGCCATGGTGATTTGCTGCACGTGTTTTTTTGTTTGTTTTGTTTTGTTTTGTTTTTGTATTTTTAGTAGAGACAGGGATTTGCCATGTTGGCCAGGCTGATCTCCAGCTCCTGACCTCAGGTGATCTGCCCACCTTGGCCTCCCAAAGTGCTGGGATTATAGGCATGAGCCACTGCGCCTGGCCTAGAAGGTGACATTCAGAGTTTGCTTTGCCCATTTAGAAGCTTCTCAGAGATTACTTAGTGGGCAAGGTGTTTTGATGTTATTTTTTTTGCAGACTAGATTGATGGGATGGGGTGATACTGAGTGGGAGTGGCAAGAATGAGAATGAGTAATGGTTTCTAGTTTTCTCGCTTTAGAAACTGGGTTGGTGGGGTGGCATTCTGTGAGAGGAACTGCTTGAGTGGGATCAGGTTTATGTGGGACTAGAAGTGGTTCCATATTAGCCATATTGCAGGAAAAGTGCCGGCAGAGGGCTGGGTGTAGTTGGTGTGAATGATTGAAGGACTGTTGGGGGCACACTAGGGTCCAGTTTGTTTAACATCCTTTGTCTAAATGACGAGTTAATGGGTGCAGCACACCAACATGGCACATGCATACGTATGTAACAAACCTGCACGTTGTGCATTTGTACCCTAAAACTTAAAGTATAATTAAAAAAAAAAATCCTTTGTCATTTTACTTCAGTTGGAAAGCTTCAAAAATTAAACTAATTTAAAATTGTATAATTAGCCAGGCATGGTAGCTCACACCTGTAATCCTAGCACTTTGGGAGGCCGAGGCAGGCAGATTGCTTGAGCTCAGGAGTTCGAGACCAGCCTGGGCAACATGGTCAAACCCCTACTCTACAGGATGCAAAAAAATTAGCTGGGCATGGTGATGTGCCCCTGTAGTCCAACTATTCAGGATGCTGAGGTGGGAGTATCATTTGAGCCCAGAAAGTTGAGGCTACAGTGAGCCGAGATCGCACCAGTGCACTGCAGCCTGGGCAACAGAGTGAGATCCTGTCACAATAAATGAATGAATGAATGACCAGTGCAGAAAAGGGGTAAAAATGGCAGTGGGAGTCTACCATTTTGTTAAATTCTTTCTGCTTTTCCCTTTTTTTCATCTACTACTAGCAGTAGTTCTAGAATGTTAAGCATTATTTGAGAGTCTTTGCTTAAACTAAGGACCTTTAGCTTGAGGTAGCTGTGGTTGTATTTCACCCAGGAGAGTGGTCCTTTGGGATGCAAGGCAGTTGTTCTAATACCTCCCAGACCAGTGATATGTGTGTGTGACTTGCCTACTGCTCTGTGCTGTCTGTTGTTGGAGGGTAAGTCAAGTGCTTAGACTTGAAGACTCTGATTGTGTGAATGAGTATTCAAGATGCAGGACCCAGGGCCCTGCCCCAGGTAGATTATTTGGGTCTATGATGAGGCCAGGAATCTGCTGTTCAGTCCACATGATTGTGACCAGGGGCTTCGTTTTGAACAAATAGTTTTGATGGGTTAAACAAGGATTTTTCTTCTGATTTATAAAAGTTATACATAACAACTATTTTTTAAAACATAGAACAGAATTGAAAGGCAAACTCATAGTTGACCTGACTCTCCAGGACAAAGTTGTGTTGCCTGTGGTCTGTGTTTCTCAGATTTTTTCCTCCAGTGTGTTAACAAGTGTGGATTCCCACGTGGCACTAAATATTCCTGGACAGTGTGATTATGAATAGGCCATATTTGAATGCTGTTGCACTTGCATTGTCCAGTTTTTCACTTGTACAGATCTATCGACGGACACTCCAGCATAAATACTTGATTAGGATAAATTTTTTTTTTTCCTTTTGGTAAGATAGGGTCTTGCTCTGTTTCCCAGGCTGGAGTGCAGTAGCGCAATCATAGCTCCCTGCTGCCTTGACCTCACAGACTCAAGTGATCCTCCCACCTCAGCCTCCTGAGTAGCTGGGACTACAGGCGCACACCATCATGCCTGGCTAATTTTTTAAAATTTTTTTGTAGAGAGAGGTCTTGCTGTATTGCTCAGGCTGGTCTTGGAGTCCTGCCCTCAAGCAATCCTACCTTGGCCTCCCAGAGTGGTGGGATTACAGGCATAAGCCACTGCGCCCAGCCTTAAGGATAAATTCTTAGAAATAGAATTACTGGGTCCAAAGAACATTTTCAATATTTCTGCCCTTCAGAAAGATGAGTCAGTTAGAGGGCTTCTTGGCCCTTAGCCTCGTAAAACCTGGGTGTTTTGTTTTGGTTTTTAATTGCCAATTTGGTAAGGAAAAGCTGAGTGTTCTTAAATGTTTGCATTCTTTTGGATATTTTATGAAATTGAATCTTTCTTCATGTTTGACAATTTGTGTTTTTTCTTTTGTGAATTATTTTTTCTGCTTCCTCCTGTATCCTTTTTTTCCTGTTGGGGTATTGTCCTTTTCTTAATTTTTAAGAGGTCTTGTTCATAGTAAGGATGTTGATTCCATGTTAACCTAAATTTATTTTAATAAAATTGAAAAGCATGCTGCTTTATTTTGCAGGCATGAGGATGTTGTATTTCTTACTCCCTTTTTTAGTTTACCTAAAGCAGTAAAAAGAAGAATTAATGCATTGAAACAACTTCAGGTGAGATGTGCTCACATAGAAGCCAAGTTCTATGAAGAGGTACATGACTTGGAAAGAAAGTATGCAGCGCTATACCAGCCTCTCTTTGACAAGGTAGGGAGCTCTGTTAATTTAATATACAGATAGTTTTCAGCTTACGAAGGTGTTAGGTTCCGATAAACCCATTATAAGTTGACAACATCTAGGGTAAGAACGCATCTAACCTGCCAAACATAGCTTAGTCTAGACTACCTTAAACAAGCTCAGAACGCTAACATTAGCCTGCAGTCAGGCAAAATCATCTTCCACAAAGCCTATTTTATAATAAAGTGCTGAGTATCTCGCGTAATGTATTGAACCCTACACAGAGAGAGGAACACAGTGTGGCTGTATTGGTGCCCAAAGTGTGATGGCTTCTGCACCATCAGGAAGTTGAAAATCTTTAGCTGAACCATTGGAAATCGGGGACTGTCTTTATTTTACATCTTTAGGTGAAACATCCAGGTTTACCCAGGGAATCATTTAATATTTTTCTTTGAACCCTAAAATTTAGAATCTTAAAATAAGTTATAAAAATATCCAGTTTTCAAAGTCTTTTAGTAGACATTATTTATAAATTTAACTCTTGAGTTCCTAAGTAAGCTAATAACATAATTCTAATAAGGTCTCATTTTTATGTAGAGAAGAGAATTTATCACCGGCGATGTTGAACCAACAGATGCGGAATCGGAATGGCACAGTGAAAATGAAGAGGAAGAGAAATTGGCTGTAAGTCTTTAGAAACATGTGACTCATGTTCTGTTTTAATACTGTTAAAAATAAGCATTTTTTAATGATTTTTAATGACTAGTAAACTTATGTGCTTCTAACAGTAGGTGCTGCTGCATCATTAGGTTGGGTTTAGATTCCTTTCTGATATGGATCTAGCATCTGACACAGTACTGTCAGTTAATAGGAGTAAGATGTAGTGCCACCTCAGTTATCTGTGGACAGGAGCATATTGAAATAAGGGATCAGACCAACAAAGATTAAAACATCAGAGAAAGCAAAGATGAAGAAGAGATGCCCCTGTGTTCTCAGTCACTGGAAGATTGGGGGAGTTGTGAGGGGAGTGCCTTCCTGCTCAGTGGCATGGACTAGCTTGCCCCCTGAGAGGTGCTCCGCCAGTGGATTGGTTGCAGATGGTGGTTGTGGTGTGGCCATCAGTCACCTGCTCACAGCCTTTTTCTAGTGACTGGTCCCATTCCAGTGCTGTGAAAACTCCCAGTGTACCATGGATTAACTTTGTCAGCCTGATTTTATGTTTGGGAGACAAGTAACTTTTATCCTATAACTAACTTTTTGCAGTTTTTTTTTTTTGGGGGGGGGTGGTATATGATGATTTTGGTAGCCATATGTGTTTTTGATGCTTTAAAAATATATAGAACCTGGCCTAATTGAAGCCATGGCTGTGGATTAATACAGTTGTGAATCAGTTTCTAACAGCTCAAGGGAAATCTGCCTTTGCTGATTTAAAAGGCCTTTCATTTCAAGATCATTTCATCATAACAATCCCGTTTGGCAAGGCATTCAGAATTTCCCATAGTTGCATCTGGTGTTGCGTTTCACCTCCCTTGGTCTACCTTTTCCCTGGGGCCTGACTCCCCTTCCTTTTGCCATGTGGCCTTTCTGGTCACTTTCTGATGCTTGCGTGGTGTCTGAGCTGGCATTTATAGCCACTTCCTTACAAGCTGGATAAGTTGCTGAGCACTTTCTTGCTGCAGATACTGCTGCGGCAAATTTTTTTTTTTTTATTTCAACTTAGCACCCCACAAATTTTAACAAGAGGTCAGATTATTAGTCCAAGTGAACTTCTTTATCCTTGCACTGGACTTTTTTTGCCCAGTGCTAGATGTTCTGCATATTTGCATTGCATCTCCTTAAGGTTGATGTACAGTCTTTGCATCTGCATTTGTGATGATGATTGTCTCAGGATGGCACCTCACAGAGCTAGCACTGGATGGCCTTTCCCAGCGTCGGTGGCACTTTGTCATCTCTTTAGTTTCTTCGCCTTTGATGTGAAATGGTACGGAATTCCGTGTGGATGTAATGACTTGAATGCTTTTTCCTCAGAAGCATCTGAAAAGTGTCGCGTGGCCCAGTGAGTGGTTTGGAGGTGCAGACTTAGAAAGCAAGGTGTTTGATGGGAGATAGTAGAGGATTCGGCAACGATATTCTACGTGAAGCCCCTGCATTGTTTGTAAACTTTTATTTTCGTTACCTATGTTGCATCTTTTTTTTAGGGAGACATGAAAAGTAAAGTAGTCGTCACAGAAAAAGCAGCGGCAACGGCTGAAGAGCCAGATCCCAAAGGAATTCCAGAGTTCTGGTTTACCATCTTCAGAAATGTGGACATGCTGAGTGAATTAGTCCAGGTAAGCACACTTCTGTCTTGTAGAGAGATTATGTGCTAGTCTTCTAACATTACTTATCTATGGCATTTTTTAAGCACTACACTGGGCATTGAAAGATTGTTCATAGTGGGCGGAAGGGCACTTTCTCTGACCAGGACCTCAGATGAGCAGTCCTGATCTCACAGTGAATGGTTTATTCACAGTGGGGCTTCCATGCTGTCTTTTGCAGTTCTTGGTGGAAAGCTGGGCGCTTCAGCCTGATCCAAAACTTTCAAATCAGTTCCTTTTACCTCTTGTAAAGCTCTGTTGTCTTGCCTGTGGGAAAGCCTATGAATAGATTCCAGAGCCCATCTCTGTCTTACTGTGGTGTGAGTGTGCAGGAAAGGGTGAGGGCAGGAGACCAGAGCAGAATGAATTTTGAAGGGATGAGCTGTGTGTTTGTTTGTGTGTGTGTGTGTACACACACATCTCAGTGAATTTTTGAACAAGTTGCTAATATTTTCTGATCATTTCTCTTGAAAAAGTGTTTATTTTTTTTAAAAAAAGAGGCCAGGCATGGTGGCTCATGTCTGTAGTCCCAGCACTTTGGGAGGTCAAGGTAGGCAGATCGTTTGAGACCAGCCTGGGCAGCATCGCGAAATCCCATCTCTACAAAAAATAGAAAAGTTAGCTGGGCGTTGTGGTGTGCGCCTGTGGTCCCAGGTACTTGGGAGGCTGAGGCAGGAGGATCACCTGAGCCGAGGAGGTTGAGGCTGTGGTGAGCTGTGATCACGGTGCTGCACTCCATCCTGGTGGGTGACAGAGACCCTGTCTCCAAAAAAAAAAAAAAACAAAAAACAACACAACAACAAAACCCAACCACCATTTCTGATTTTGTCTTGCCTTGACATTTCACTTTCTGTAGTGAAATGGTGAACAAATTAAAAGGTAACAAATTTGGTTTTCCCTGAAATGAGTTATAATAGAAGTTTCTAGAACAGAGAAACAAATCTTGCCTTAAGTCTCACTGACTGACTTGCTGTCAGTTTTTATTGCTCCAGCGTCCCCAGAAACAGTACGTCTGCATTCAGACTTGCTCAGGACAGCTGCAGGCTCTGCTTGTGTGGGCAGAGTGCTTCTCCCATCACAGAGCATAGGCACTGTGCGTTGCAAACTGCTACATTGTAATTTGCACAGGATTTTACAGCTACGGTTTTTAATGGTTTTCACAAATGTATCACATTGCTGCCTCTGCTACCTCCCTTGTTTAATGCTTGTCCTGTGTCCTAAGCCAAAACTTGAGAAAAGATGGAAAGAATGATGTATTTCTTATTCTCCTTCCAGACCAGAAAGCATCTAAAATAGAACAGCCTTGGTTTTTCCTGATCTGAGCTTCCTTTTCATATGAAAAGGTGGAATTTAAGAAGACTAGACCATACTTTTAAAAGAATGCCATGCACCAGAATTTCATTGGAAAAATTAAGTAATGTCTACCAGAGCCGTAGTCTCACCCTGTGTATTACAATCACCTGAGCAGCTTTGAAAACTAAATAGCAAAAACTAAATGCCTCATCTGTCACCATGGCACTGAGAGTTTTGAGTTGGTTTTAGGAACTCTAATGTGCACCCTGAGAGTTGAAAATCTCCATGGCAGGGAGCAGGTGGAAAGACTAGCTCTTAGTTCGTTCTTCTCAGACTTCGGGGGGCATGGGGAGTGGCCATGGCAGTGCGGATTCTGGTTCTGTGGGGCTGTCTGGCTCATGGGCCCTGGGGTGATTCTTGCACTGCAGGGTTGGAGCATCTTCACGTGGGATTGGGGGTGCAGTGATAACAGGGTTTGGGAGCTAGAGTTAGGTGACTTGAGTGAGTTTTGGTGTCCCCTTCTGTGCGTGTGGCCACCTGGTTATGGCATTGGGGTCACTGGCCATGGATAGTGCTGCCTTGGGTTTTGAGAGCACAGTGAGGCATTTGGCCACATTTTAAATGGGGTGTCCCTTCTCATTCTCCCAGCACCTCTGTAGTAGTGTCAGTGCTTCAGCATTTCAGCCATGAAGTGTCTTTTGTTGCTTTTTGTTTTAACAGCTTTAAAAAGATATGCAGGGGTTGATAGAGTACTCATTTAATATGCAGAGAATGAGGAAATGTTATTTGTACTGTTTGTAACCTCATAGCAGGTAATGGTAGCATATTCTATTTTGATTTTTTTTTTTAACAATATTTTCTTTTTTTTTTTTTTTTAACGGAGTCTCGCTCTGTCGCCCAGGCTGGAGTGCAGTGGCGTGATCTTGGCTCACTGTAAGCTCCACCTCCTGGGTTCACGCCATTCTCCTGCCTCAGCCTCCCGAGTAGCTGGGACTACAGGCATCCGCCACCACGCCTGGCTAATTTTTTTATTTTTAGTAGAGACGGGGTTTCACTGTGTTAGCCAGGATGGTCTCGATCTGCTGACCTCATCATCCGCCTGCCTTGGCCTCCCAAAGTGCTAGGATTACAGGCGTGAGCCACCGTGCCCGGCCAACAGTTGTTTTTTAATGTCTGGTTTTGAAGTCTGCCATTTCTGAGAGAAGCCCTTTCATTTTTAAGGGACATGGTCTTGCTATGATGCCCAGCCTAGAGGTCAGTGGCTTTTCATAGGCACAGTCAGGACACTGCTGTCTCAGTCTCCTGGCCTCAAGGGGTCCTCTCGAGTAGCTGGGACTGTAGATATGCGCCACTATGCCCAGCTCATTTTGGTCAAATATTAAATTCCAAAGGCGGATTAACTCTGAGTCCCTTTGTTCTAAATTTGGGGATAGTTGAAATATATTTCTGCAAGGAGAGTGGAAAATTTGAGATGGCGGCTTTACGATCTGAGTGCGATGCCTCCAGTGTTGTGCCTTTGCTTCCTGAGTCTGAGCGTCTGCCAGTGTGGGGCATTACCTTAATATTTGCCCTGGACATTTAAAGTTTTGACCCACAGGGTACATGGCTGCTTGAGGAAATTAGAACATAATGGTTATTTTATGAAGTTTGGGAAAACATGAGTGGGCACTGCGTCTTTGAGTGGGATGAGTTTGAAGTCCCAGTGCCATCTCTGGAAAGCATGCTGGTGGAAGTGCTCATCTTGGTGATCTAGAGCCAGCGCATGCTTCTGTGGGTGGCACGCGCAGCATTGGAGACTGAACATCGCATGCAGGTGTGGCCCATTTCACAACTGCCTTTGGGTTACTTTTTGTCTAGATACTTGCAGGTATCTTTTTGTTGCTGTTTTTGTTTTGTTTTATGTCAGAAGAGTTGAAAATTAGGACTCAACGGAAAATCAGGCACAGAAAGGGGGGAAATACCTCACGTTCACACTCATGTGGGAGCTACAAAAACAGCTCACCGAAGCAGAGAATTGTTGATAAAGGCTAAGAGGGAGAGAGAGGGGAGGATAAATAGGGAGAGGTCTGTTGAGAGGTCTGTTATCAGATACAGAGTGACTGCTAGATTGGAGGAGTAAGTTCTGGTGTGTTGTAGCACTGTAGGGTGAATGTGGCTAACGATAATTTAGTGCGTGTTTTCAGAAAGCTAGAGGACGGGTTTTGAATGTTCAAAAATAAATGTTTGAGGTGATGGTCCTGATTTATTACACATTGTGTACGTGCATCAAAATGTCACTGTGTCCCATAAATAGTACAATTATTACATACAACTAAAAAAGAGAAAAAATGATTTAAGAAAAACTTAATGCAACTTCAAGACATTTTGAGATTCAGTGCCCAGACTTTGGGGGTAAAGAAGTGACTGCCATGTTACAAATGAAGCGCCTGCTGCCAGTGCGTGTTTCTGAGGATTCAGGTCTTCCCACTCCTCTTCTGACTTTCCTCACTGGGACTTTCTAAGCTGACAGGTATTGGCAAAATGAGTTTAAAGAAATATCACTTGTAAAATGATACAGACACAGATAAGAATTGTACGCTCTTCCATGATGCCCACTCTTCCATGGTGCCCGCAAGTTGGATCTCAGACACGCTCTGTGTAAGTGTTCTTAAAGAAGTAACCGTGTGTGGCC
The DNA here is from genome assembly GCF_000001405.40 of Homo sapiens. Lineage (NCBI taxonomy): Eukaryota > Metazoa > Chordata > Mammalia > Primates > Hominidae > Homo > Homo sapiens. Next base: position 196,877 of record NT_187585.1, on the reverse strand, counting down.
GGGCGCGGTGGCTCACGCCTGTAATCCCAGCACTTTGGGAGGCCGAGGTGGGTGGATCACAAGGTCAGGAGATCGAGACCATCCTGGCTAACACGGTGAAACCCCGTCTCTACTAAAAATACAAAAAATTAGCCGGGCATGGTTGGCGGGTGCCTGTAGTCCCAGCTGCTCGGGAGGCTGAATCCGGGAGGCGGAGCTTGCAGTGACCAAGATCACACCATTGCACTCCAGTCTGGGCAACAGAGCCAGACTCCGTCTCAAAAAAAATAAAGAAGTGACTGTGTGTATTGTGAGTTTTGGATACAGTCATGAGCCACATAACACATTTTGGTCACAACAGACTGCATATAGGATGGCGGTCCTGTAAGATTATGATACCATATTCTTACTGTACCTTCTCTGTGTTTAGATACACAAATAAGTACCATCACCAGCTGCTTCCAGTATTCAGTACAGTCCCATGCTGTTCAGGTTTGCAGCGTAGGAGCAATAGTGGATAGTAGGCTGCACTATCGAGGTTTGTGTAAATATGCTCTGATGAACACACGCCGAATTGCCTAACAATGTGTTTCTCAGGAGGTGCCCCCATTGTTAAGCCATGCACAACTTTATTGCCACAGGTGGGGAAGCTGGCTGCCAAGGCCGTAGCCGATCTAGCCTTCTCTTCTGACTTCCAGGCTTCTGCTCTTTCTCCTCAGAGAGGCTGAGGACCAACAGTCTTGGTTGGTAGCATTTCTGATCTCTGTGTGCAGTGGCAGCTGGTGGCAGGAAAGCAGTGAAGGCCCTTGCCCCAGTATTGCAGGCAGGCGGGTGTCAGTGGCACTGCCCTTTGCTGGCAGTGGCAGCCACCGTTGCTCCACACTAGGGAAAGGGGACACCTTGGTGCTGCTTCTCTATGACAGGGAGTTGGTGAATAAGTCTGGGTTTCTTCCTGGTAGTTATTACTTTGACAAGGACAGAATTCCAATAGGGCTAGTTATGCAACATCTGGGAGCCTCTGCAACCATGACTCTTCGGGAGAGATGTGTTGTTTTTTTAAAAGCCTGTTGGAATTTTTTTTCTCTTTTTGATTAGGAATATGATGAACCAATCTTGAAACACCTGCAGGATATTAAAGTGAAATTTTCTGACCCTGGACAGCCTATGGTGAGTACTGACTTGACCTTCTGGTTGGCATCAGACAGGGTCAGTCCACAAAGATGGAAGAACTTGGAGCCAGGGGCAAGAAACCCACAAAACCCACACCCAGCCACTCATCTGCTGGGCAGCCCTGGGCGAGACTGCTCTCCAAGAGTTAGACTGAGTACCGCATTGTGTGTTTGCTCCCTGAGTTCGATGGGGATCCCATTGCCTTTCTGTGTCATGCTTGGCACTGTAGTCGTGAGTCTGTGCTGGATGATTTGACAGTGATGCAGACCATGTGATGCCCCAGACCCTGCAGCCAGGTGGGCACCAATGCAGGAGTCAGGCTGCAACTCCTGGGCTGTAGTGGTGCTGTCCACTGTGCCAGGCCTCGGTCTTGTAGTTTGTTTGTTTACTCTGTTGGGTGGAGATGATACCATTCTTTTCCCAAGTGTCTCTGAAGTTTGCATGCATCTAATGTATATGTTTAACGTTTAAAAAGATGGGAGCTATGTACACATAATGATCAGCACTTATTCAGAAATCTGAACCTACTAGGTTTTACCCTAAAAAAAAAAGCGCAAATAAGACTGAAAAATGTTTTCCTGCTCTTTGATTTGTCCTGAAACACGTCTTTACAATATGCTTGCCATGGCATATCATTGCATTAGTAATGTTAGTGGCATGGATCAGCCTACCAGTTGGTAAGATAAGCTTGACTAGGTCAGCCCTTACTTTTATCTGAGGAACCATATGCTCATCTTCAAATGGCCTTGCCAGACTGTCTCATCCCAGCCTGGTTCTCCCAGGGAGCACTGTTCGTAACCCGTTAGCCTGGCTGTAGCTAATGGGTTCCATTCCGGTGCAATAGCATTTCCAGCGACACATGACTGACTGACTGGTGGCTTTCAGTTTCAGGTCTTGGAGACAAATGCTGCATGACGGGCTGTGGGTTAGGGATCTTGGGTGTGGGTGATGGTGGTAGGGGCCTGGGGCCAGTCACCAGTATCTTCCTTCCTCCCCATCTCAGCACTGGGGCCTGGGCTAATGGATGAGGGCCACTAGGAGTGGGATTTCTTCACTGCAAGTGCTGCAAGTAATGCCTGGGGCAGCAGCAGGGGTGGGCAGTGGATGTACCTGTATCTGTCTCTTCTACTTTTTCCTGTCTGTTTTCCACTATGGAAGGTGACATTCAGGTGTCCCTCTCTAGGTGGGGCCCTGGGAGCTGGGAGTGATGCCTGCTCACCAGCTGGGGGCTGCCCTCCAGAGGGGATACCCCATCTTCCTTCCCCCATGTGGGTTATAGCAGGTCCTTCTTCCTGGGCTTGCATCACTTCTGTTTAGACTTTATCACAGGGCCCCCAGGAGCCGCCTGGGCACGTCTGCCTAGTTTGCCCTCGTTGGTGTGCATTCTCTTCCCCATGGTGTGAGCGTGCGGTGCTTTAAGTTTCTGTGCGTTTTTTCTTTGTACTTCTTTCTTACCTGTGATTCATCCAGACGCAATTAACTTTTTTTCCCTTTTGGGTCAGTTCCTTTTTTTTTTCCTTTCTTTTTTCTCCTTTTCTTTTCTTCCTTTTTTTTCTTTTTTCTTTTTTTTTTTTTTTTGAGACCGAGTCTCACTGTGTCACCAGGCTGGAGTGCAGTGATATGATCTCGGCTCACTGCAACCTCTGCCTCCTGGATTCAAGCGATTCTCCTGCCTCAGCCTCCCGAGTAGCTGGGACTACAGGCACGCACCACCACGCCCAGCTAATTTTTGTATTTTTAGTAGAGACGTGGTTTCACCATGTTGGCCAGGATGGTCTCAATCTCTTGACCTCGTGATCCACCCGCCTCAGCCTTCCAAAGTGCTGGGATTACAGGCATGAGCCACCACACCCGGCCTCTTTTTTTCTTATTGGACACCTGTTTGATGATTTCCTAGGTCAATTTTCTTTCTTTCTTAGCCTGTCATCTTATTTTTCTCCATCTCATTGTGACTCATAGACTAGAGCTCTGGTTATGGTAGACTGTGGACCAGTAATTTTTTTTTTTCTTTTTACTTCCCTATTATAAAAGTCATATGTGGAAAATACAGGCAAGTGTAAAGAACACTATACAAATCTGTCTTCTAAAAGTAAATCTCAGCAGCTTAGTGAATTTCCCCATACTCTTTTTCCTTTGTAAAATTATTATGAAGCGTCTAATGCATTTTAAGTTATAAAGATAAATGAAACTTCAAAATGAGTCTTGACTGGTGTTTTTGCAGCATGCCTCATTCCCTTCCCTTGAGCGCTTGCCTACCTGGATACACAGTGCACACGTGTGCCACACGGCTCCTGCCACACCACATGGTGTGTGCACAGTGTCACCCTGCTGCCACATCACACAGGCTTGGCTGGGGGAATAGTTGTTACTGCAGCCATTGGCTATAAAACAGTTTAACATTCCCCTACATGCACCACCTCCCCCATTGTAAATTGTTGCATTATGATCAGCATACTTGAACCCAAATTTGTGTTAAATTAAATGTTTGATGGTTTCCTTAGTTTAGATTCCTTTCAGTGTACTTACCAGTCAAAGAAGATGAAGCTTTAGAAGGCCCAAAGGTCGTTCAGTTGGGATTACAGACATGAGCCACTCAGGCCCTGCCTAATTTTGCATTTCTTTAGTTGCTTGTAAGATTGAGCATGGTTAGCATATTTATGGCTTACCTGGCTGTAGTGCGTGTGTGAATGAAGCAGTCTTATTTTCAAGCCACTTTTCATTTGGGCAGCTAAACAGTTTCTTGAATCATCTTCAGTTGTCTTTGGGTTACTCTTGACTGAACAAAGGCAGAGGGGAGAGAAAAAAGGAAAATAGGAAGAAACATGAATCTATCTATAGAAAAGTAGGCTGGGTGTGGTGGCTCACGCCTGTAATCCCAGCACTTTGGGAGGCCGAGTTGGGAGGATTGCTTGACCCCAGGAGTTCAAGACCAGCCTGGGCAACATAGGGAGAACTGGTCTTTAAAAGAGAAAGTAAAAAGGAGGGGAAAAAATGAGTAGGACATGGTGAAGGACCACAAGTCTAATAGTACTATTTGTTTTATTGGGGCCACCCCATGCCCTGGGTTGGTTGTCCACACTGTGGTCACAGCCTTAAACAGTTCTGGAATCATAGCAGTCTCTCCATTGGTTGGCTACTTGTCTTCCCTCTTTATGTTGGTTTTTTTTTTTTTTTTTAAGCCGTGGAGGGTTGGGAGAGAAATAGGCATTTTATTTGATGCTGATTCCCTGTAGCTGCCTCTTCCTTTCCTTGTGATTTTTGCCAGGCAGGTGACTGGCCTTTCGTTTGTGTGGTTCATCTGCAGTGCCCTACCCGCTTCCTTTGCTCTTGCCAAGGCCAGTGGAGAGCTCCTAGCCAGATCCTGCTGTCATCCCTTCTAGAAACCGACTAGACTGTCTCCCTGATCCTGACTTCCTAAGCCCTCATGCCCCGCCTCCTCCTCCACCTTTCTTTGAAAGTTGTTTTTTCACTTCTCCTTTGTGCAAGTGGTTTGTTTGAATGTATAAACTTTTTTTGCTGTATATTTTTTTTAGTCCTCTTAATTTCCCCCCCCGTTGATGGTTTTACCATTACAATGAAAATGGAAACAGCTGACATTTAGCCAGCCTTGCCTATAAACGCGGCTCTAAGTGATACAGATTAACCACCAAGGCAGCTCCTAGAGAGGGAGAGAGTTATTTCCAGTGTAGAGATGAGGAAACTAAAGCACGGAGACATTGAGTAGCTTCCGCGAGTTGCCTAGCAGTGTAGGCAGAGATGGGATTTGAATCCAGGCTGTCTGAGCGTAGAACTGGTCTTGTAAACTGTCTATAAATTGCTCAACCAAGCGCATCTTCCATGTTTTTCTTCTATAAATAGGGATGAGGTCAATGTCTTTGCACATATCGATGCATCCATCCAGGTATTTTTCTCAAATAGAACAAATTCCTCAAAATAGAATTACTGAGTCAGGGAATATGCCTTTTAATTTAATTTTTTTTGATATTGCCAAATTGTCCTTCATAAAATCTGTTGACAGTACATGAGTGTGCTCAGTACCCCAAAATCCTGGCCGGGTCTACATATTTTTGTACATTTTGCCCCAAAGAAAGGCATCTCATTTTGGTGTTCATGTGTTTTGTTACTCGTGAGCATGAATGCCTTGTTGCTGCTGTTGGTTGTTCTATGCCTGCGTTCATGTTTGCATCCTTTTTCCCGGTGTGCTCACGTCTCTTCCAGGTCTGTAGCGTGCTTTGTAAGTGAGGGATGAGCTTTCTGTCCTTGTAGAGATTTGTCCTTTTCTCCCACCCACCTCCCGGGAGAAAAGCTGTGGGTCACTGCTTTCACTGCACAGCACAGAGTAGAGACCCTGGCTTCCCCCAGCAGGGTGGGGGCTGGGGCTTAGGCTGAGCGGAAAAGGACAGGAGGAGGATGGACTGCTGGTCCCCTTACTTTCCCCTAGTCACCTTCCCTCCTTCCAGGAAGCAAGGGCTGGGAGCAGCTAAGAGAAGCTAGGATTTCTTAGGAGAGCTTGACGCCTATTGGTGAGGAGGCATTGGAGGGGGAACATGCCCCTTACTCATGAACTGAACAGATATTTCCCGCCAGTCCATCGTTGGTTTTTTTAACCTCACGCTAGTCTTTTTTGCGGTGGAGAAGTTTTTCTTGTTCATGGCCCTATCTGTTGAGCTTTCCCAAAATAGCTTCTAGTAAGTGTTGTGTACTCCAAGCAATCTGTCCTCGTTATTTTTCTATTTTAACTGGTGCTTACTCTGAATTTCTACTTTTAGTCTTTTGTGTTAGAGTTCCACTTTGAACCCAACGACTACTTTACCAACTCAGTCCTGACAAAAACCTACAAGATGAAATCAGAACCAGATAAGGCTGATCCCTTTTCCTTTGAAGGTCCTGAGATTGTGGACTGTGACGGGTAAGAAAATGTCATTCTACCTTGTTTTTCTGAAACAAAATCAAAAGATAATTTTGTAACTTGATGGGTAAGATAGAAGTAAGGAATAAAGTACAGTCTTGAGTCTGCTTAAAAGCCTAAAAGCCTGGTAGATGTATATTTCAATAGTCTTTCAGTTTGGGAATGCTCATAGTGCAGAACTTGGAGATGGCGGCTGAACCTGGGAAATGAGTCACGTGGTTGCACATGCAAGCCTTTGGGATAGTGCCCTGTTTCTTCATTTTAATGAAAGTAGTGGATTCTCTAGACATCGTGAATTGAAGTTCTTAAAATTGAATCCATGGATTACCCTCAGCAAATAAATACTTATTGAATGAATGAGTCTGAGTCCAGGGCTATATTGATCAGCTGATTGCTTTGGAAATAGGTGGGGGCAGCATAGCTGTTGTTTGACTCACTGATTTCAGTCTTTATAAATCACTAAAGAGAGAATTTGGTTTAGAATTAATTTCTCCAGGTTGGGTTGACTGAGAAATGGTTTTAGTCTTGACTTGAAACAATTACGTTTATTTACCAGAAGTAAATAGTAATTGTTAATTCAGGACTTTATTAAAATCCTGCTAGAGTAATTTAGAAAGATGATTTTCCAGGGCCAGGACATCATGTGAGAAAAAGGCCTGGCCTTACCAAGCATGTTCTTAAGCGGGCAGTATTGAGATCTGCCAGGTGTTGCCTGGGTCTGTGGTGATTGTGTGTTAGAGAGAGCGTGCTGTGCTCAGCCCTCGCCAGCATCCCTGGGGCTGGAGTGGTCTGCACTGGCCATCAGTATTCCCGGTGGCCACCTCTTTCCTTTTTTCAGCTTGTCGTGCTCAGTTGGCTGCTTTGAACAGCAGCAACTCCTCCTTCCTTGGGAAACCGCGGACAAGTTCTTGTGCATCATGCAGACTTGACGGGGCTTTGCCACAGAATATACATTTCAGAGTCCTGATGAAATGTCTTGGGAAAATAATACCATTGTTCCAGAAGTCTGAAGTTCCAGTGGTCACACCCAAGTTGAAAGAGGACCAGGCTGTTTCTCTTTTTGCCAACCTCCAGATGAACTTCATGGGCCATTGTATTTGGTTTGCAGATTGGTTTTATTTCGTTTTCCAGGTTTGGCATAGAGCTGTGGTTTGCTTCCTGCATGCATTTGTAATGGATTTTTCTCATGGATTGTGTGTTCATGACAGCTGTCTTGTCCTGGTAGGTGTACTATTGACTGGAAGAAAGGAAAGAATGTTACTGTCAAAACCATCAAGAAAAAGCAGAAGCATAAGGGTCGAGGCACTGTTAGAACAATTACGAAACAAGTACCCAATGAGTCCTTTTTCAACTTCTTCAATCCATTGAAAGGCAAGTCTGTTGGTTGTTAATATTCATTATGTTCTTATATAAAATAATTTTGGTCACCTGATAGATTCCTAACACCCAGAGACTTTAGTCCTCTTTTTTCAGGCAAGTGTGGTCAGTAGGGGCACATTGCTGTGTCCCAGGCTGTTCTGTTGGTGCGCTGGCAAGTTTATCGCGGGGGGCAGAGGTAGCTAGGACAGTAAGAGTAGGATTGTCATCTTCTGCAGGAAAGGGAAGAGCTTTACTCTGCTTGGCTGTAGCCCAGGCAAAAACTTGCAGTTCTGTTTTAAGAAAACTGAATCGAGTATTTGCACCTGGGCTGCTTCCTCACTTGGACACCTGGAGCACCCTTCTCCACCAGCTGGCATTTCTGCCCCGCTGTTGTGTCTGGTTCGCACCCCCCGGGGACCACTCCCAGCCTCGGAGAGCTGCTGGGTTTGCTCTGCAGGTACCCGTTACTGCTGTACGCTGGTTCTAGTTGTGCTGCTTTTGGATCATCTGCTTAGTCCCCCTTTTCTTGTAATTTTTTATGCATAATTTGATAGAATTTTTTGGAATTTATATATTGTAAGAAACACAAGTAGTTGGGACTTTCATTTTTGAAAAACATCGGCAGAATCACAGCTTGGAAGCTGCTTCTTTTTGTTTATTTATTTATTTTTTAAATTTTCCTAAGTGGTAAAATAAAGATGAGACCTTTGAGCTAGTAAAGGTTGACCAATTGATTTTAAGAGTAAATTTCTTGGGATTTTTCATATAATTTCCTAATCGTGAGAAAATGTGAAGGTCAAGCAACTTGTCAGTGTTAAAATATCCATATTCTCTTTAGTTTCCATGAACTAAAACATAATTTGAAGTGAAGAGATGCCAGCCCCTGCTGCAGATAATCAGTGAGTGTTTGTTTGTATGTGGGGCCACAGGGCGGATCTCTTCTCCAGTCTGAGTGATTGATTTTTTGATTTTGTCTCTGAGCTTAGCACCCTTATTTATCAAGCTGCCCTTCAGAGTTCAGTCCATTATTTTAATTGTGGTGCCTATTTTCTGCAATTAGACTTTGAACCTAGAAGATGCAAATACATACGGTTTGGGGAATGAGAGCAGTCATAAATTTAGATATTACATTTCCTTTTTTTGGAAGATTCCTTTTAGACACTTGGGTTGGGCATACTGGAGATTGTCTGTGAATTCAGCGTGAAGAAGGGAGGCTTTAATTTCTGGAATCACTTTGTGTAGGAAGTTCTCTTAAAACTGATTTAAAAATAATTTTTAGGATAAAAATGGAGTTGATAATGGACTCAAGGGAATTTTTAAGTGTTTTTTTTTTTAGATTCTAAAACTTTTAGGGTATGATGGTTGCACAACTCTAAAATTAACGTACTGAAAGTCATAAAGTTGTACATTTAGAGTGTATGCCTTTTAATGGTATGTAAATCCCATCAGTAAAGCCACTTTTAAAGTAATCAAACACATAATACCAAATGGTAAGTGCTTTGAAAAAAATTGAGGATGGCTGCGGAATAGGTAATGGGGTAGTGAAGGAACAGACAAAATGGACTCCTGTGGTGTGAAGTGAAGGAGGCATTAGCTAGTGAGTCCAGCTCCTTTGTCCTTAAAACTGCAAAGCCAGTCCAGAAGTATGAGTGTTCAGAGTCCTTGTACTATTCATGACTTGGGCCAGAGTGCCCTGGGGAGCATGCTGCTCCAGCATTTAGACACCCAGCCATGCTCCTAACCCATGTCTAAAACCCCTGGGTGATGCTGGCACACCGAGGCTTGGGAACTCTGCCTCACTCATGGGTGGTGTTTACGCACCCAACATTCATGTCTCAGCAGCAAACAGCAAGTGCTGCCAGGGTTGTGGTCGCTTAATGGGAAGGGAGACTCAGAGAGGAGAGCCCAGTGAAGATTGAAAAGGCAGGTATGAGACTAAGCAGAGTAAACATTCAACTCCTGATGAAGCTCAGGGTCTTGTAGTAAATGTTTCTAAAATCAGGGGGTTGGATCTTCTACCAGTTGAACGTTGCACAGCTTCATTGAGTGTGGTTAGAAGTCCCTATCTGTCTTGGTGGGCTTAGCTCGTCTGAGCATCAGCTTTCGCTGAGGAATTGCGCCACTCTACAGGGGCCCCTGGTGGGCATTCCAGCACTCTCCAAACAAACAGAAATGCAGTTTCTGTCTCGCTGATTTGCAGTGCCTTAGTAACACTCACAGCTTATAAGGCTTAAGGACTTTCTCTTTCCTGCACCATCATGTATAGTTCTGCGGGACATGAGTTAAGTTTCCCCATAAAGCACAAATGCACTGAATGGCCACAGCCTGGGGGCTGTTTGCCATTCCTCCTGTTAATATATTAACTCTCTCAAAATGATCTTCTCAAGCTTGAGTGCCAGCCCATGGCACATGATGGAGGAGGAGAAGGGAGGGGGGCATAGAGGCACTCAGGCCAGCTTCAGAAGTGGTGGATGGAGCTTGCAAAGATGTCTGTGAGGAGATGCAAGGCTTTGGGGATTTCTGTTAAACCTCGAGGTGAGAAATGTTACATTTTATCTACCAGCACAGCTTCCTCCTGTGTGGGCTTTAAAATTCTGGGAGTTGTCACTGTAATTTAAATATGTTTTGTCTTTTCTTTTTCTAGCATCCGGGGATGGAGAATCACTGGTAAGATTTGTTGTTAATAGTCTTATTTTCCTGTTGAAGTCTCTCCTGAGTGAATGTCTACTTGTCTACTTGTTAAAAAAAGTCCAGTCCTGGCTGTGTGTGGACTGGGTATGCCAGTGATCTTAATGCTTTGGGAGGCTGAGGTGGGAGGACTGCACGAGTCCAGGAGTTTGAGACCAGCCTGGGCAACATAGCACAACCCCATCTCCACAAAAAATTAAAACCAAATAAATTAGCCAGCCGAACATGGTGGTTCACGCCCGTAATACCAGCACTGTGGGAGGCCAAGGTGGGTGGATCACCAGAGGTCAGGAGTTCAAGACCAGTCTGGTCAACATGGTGAAACCCCGTTTCTGCTTAAAATACCAAAAAAAAAAAAAATTAGTTGGGCACGGTGGCAGCGCCTGTAATCTCAGCTACTCAGGAGGCTCAAGCAGGAGAATCACTTGAACCCGAGAGGAGGAGGTTGCAGTGAGCTGAGATTGCACCACCGTATTCCATTGGGCGACAGAGCAAGACTCCGTCTCAAAAGATAAAATAATAAATTAGCTGGACATGGTGGTGCACTGTGTAGTTCCAGGGTCGCTGGGGCCCAGGAGCTTGAGGCTGGAGTGAGCTGTGATTGCACCACTGCCCTCCAACCTGGGTGATAGAATAAGACCCTGTCTCTTAAAAAAAAAAAATCCATTTCTGTTTCCTAAAACTCTGGGATTAATTTGAAATCATTACACATCTAAGTAAAAGTATGTGTTTCATATGTTGATTTCAGTAGCAAATGTGCAGTGCTTTAATACTGCCTGTTTCCCATATGTGAGACTGATACCGCCTACTCTGGGTGAGACCTTTGGACAAGTTGTGGAGCTGTAGGGCCCTCACTTCCCACTTTCTCTGCCATTTTGCTTCAGTAGCTCTTTAAAGCTACTTAAAGTTGTTTTAAAGGGGCTTTGAGTGTCTAGTGGCTGTCCCCCAGCAGTGCAGGAGTTTGGTGTTTTAAGTTAAGTAAATCAAAAGTGAGGGGCTGAGGTTTGGCTGAGGGTGGTGAAGTGAATGTTTTTATCCCATTAAAATGAGTTAACACGTAGGTTTTTCCTCCTCAGGATGAAGATTCTGAATTCACATTAGCCTCTGATTTTGAAATTGGACACTTTTTCCGTGAGCGGATAGTCCCGCGGGCTGTGCTGTACTTCACTGGGGAGGCCATAGAAGATGATGACAATGTATGAGGCTCGGGGAAGGGGGGCTTCCACCTGGGTGCTTATCTCTGTTGGTGCAGAGTGGCCCTGAATTGTGGCTTAGGAAACCCCCATGCCTAATCTTTTTATTACATCATCAGCCAGATATGTAGTCCAAGCTGCTGTCCTTGTTGTGGGGGGAATACGCTTGAAGAGGAGAAGTCTGAGGAACAGAGCAGGAAAAGCAGGTGTCTGTGAAGCAGTTTCAGAGGTGATTGCCAGTTTCCTATGTGAGCCCTGCCTAGTGACTCAACAATATTCTCTCAAAACCTAAGCTTCAGGGAACTTGTGAACACAGGGAATATCTCTTTTATGGAGGTCTGGCCACAACAAACATTTATTGACAGTGGACTTATGCTAGCCTGTGGTTCATCAACCCAAAAGAAATAGAAATTCCTGAACTTCTATCTAATTAGGTAAAAAGGAAAAAAAAGAAACCCGTGCTCCCGAAGAAAACAACAAGATTGCATGTCACTTTCCTTTCTGGGCTTGAGGGAAGCCAGCTCTTCCACAGTCAGAACTTGCGGGTGCACAGCCCAAGTACCGCTTAGAAACTCCCATCCTCACCAAGGCTCAAGCAGCTTCAAGTCTTCTTGATCTGTGGAAAATAAAGTTTTGTTTTATAGACTGTTACTGGAAGTATGTTCTAGATGATACTCTCTTTCTTGTGGAGCTCTTAGGTTTCTTTTCTTAGAAGGTCTGGTCTGTTGGGGCTTCAGACAGGGCGGCAAGAGCTTAGGTGGGTTCAAGGGCCTTAGCCCCCTGTGGCAGTAAAGGCCAACATCTCCTCACACCTCTCCCATTGTACTGAGTTCCACCAGTGGGGAGAGTAGGCCAGCGTGCTCTTTATCAGCTGTTAGGTCTTAGACTGTTCATTTAACTTCTAAAACTCAACTTGCTGGCTCATCCCTAGGTTGGGAGGTGATTGCAGGTCAGGGAACATGGACAGTCAGGTAGCTGCCAAGACATAGTTTTACAAATTCTAGACCAGCACTTTCCAGTAGAACTTTCTCTGTTGATGGAACTGTCCTCTGCCTGCTTGGTCCAGTGCAGTAGGACTGACCACTTGAGGACTTGAAATATGGCTGCTGAGACTGAAGAACTGAACATTTCATTTACCTTAGTTTAAATTTAAATAGTGAGCTAAGGGCTAGTGGCTACACATTGGAAAGCTTATCTGAAACTGTTTTGATCATACACCCGTCAGTTTAAAGGACTTGAATATGCATGTGTGCTATTTGCTTACTTATATGCGGTATCTGTACTGCTGGTGAGCACTGTGCCACATTTGCTTATAGTACATGTGCGTTTCATTCACAATACGTTCAGCACAGGTACTACTGATGAGCAGTGTCAGTTAGAGGCTAGAAGTGCCAGCTCAGATTAGACTGCTCAGACTCGCATCCCCATTCTCCCTTTAGTAGCTCCACCACCTCCTTGAGCTTCAGTTTCCTCAGCTGTAAGTAGAGCTCATGGTAAAGACTCTGGTTACTTGTTAAGCCCTTAACATAGCACCTGGCACAGAGCAATGACTCAGTAAGTGTTGGCATAAAAAGTGTTTTACTAATGTTACTTTCTAGACCGTACCCCAACACTAGAAAGTTGTTGGAGGAGGAGGTGAATGTGGGAACCCTGGTCTTGTCTTCTCTGCACGTGGCAGCTCCTGCTCTGCCCAGGTGGGTGATGCATCTGGAGCAGCCCCTGTGCACAGCCCCTTAAGGGCAAAATGCTGTCCTTAGAGCCTTGGAATAGGCCCTGGAGCCTGCTGGAGGCTCGTTGGATCTGACGTGAAATGGAAGAATATTGAGAAGCCTTTCCCTGCCTGATGCCAGTTAGGGTCCTTAGAGCGGAAGGGCGCTGCACTGTGGCCACATCTCATCCTGGCTGCTGCGTGGCGCCAGGAGGCTGTGCACACTGTGTGAACTCCACACCAGCACAGTAGGGCCCTTCTAAGTTCCACCGAAGTTGGCTCTAAGCAATACATGGTGTGAGCTCAACAAAACGGGAAATGTTGATAAATGAAGCTGCATTTTCATGCACTACCCTTGTTATGCAACCAGTAGTGATAAGGTGGTTTTGCTTTTGGTGTAAGTCTCATGTTTGAAACTTGATTTTTAGTCTGACCAATGATGTATTTGGATGTAGGAGAAACTGATTCAAGACAATTGACTAATGGTGGAGGTTCACCTTTGAGCACCTTATTGATCACTTTAAAGATTAAACACCAAAGTTTTAATATATTTCTACTAAGGTTTCTTTTCCCTTTGTATGAGATGTAAAATGATACCCAGATTCCTGTATCCAATAACATTATGCTGCTGGTTCGATCAGCCTTGTAGAAAATTTAAGGAAAACAAATTCATCGGTTTACAAAAATCTTTTCCTGTGTGCCTGCTCCTCGGTGTGAGAACAGCCAGGGCAGAGCTGTGGTGCCAGGTTCCCAGCTGTGTCCAGGGTACACCCTGGCTGACCAGCTTCCTATCCTATTCCTTGTTTTGTGTGACTTTCAATTTCCTGGCATGCTTTTAAAATGCGCTGCACACAAGCAAATGGCTCCTCAGGCAAGCGAGGCCCAGCAGGCAGCGTGGCTGGACTTTCTGCTCCTCTTAGGCTTGGTCAGTGAGTCACTTGATGGGACTGGTGTCTTGGGCAGGCTGCTGTCATGTTTTGTAAACCTAAAAATGTTTTTCTGTGTTTCTCCAGTTTGAAGAAGGTGAAGAAGGAGAAGAGGAGGTAAGAGACAGGTTTATGCAGTGCCACTTACCTCCCTGAAGTTGTTTCTTTGGCTTTCTCTGCTTGAAGGTTATGGACTCACAGGGCTGTGTTAAACCCATTTTTTGTGACGCTGTCTTTGATTCTAAGAATGTTCTTAAAACACTAAGCAGAAATGCATAGCAAATGCTGTGACAGTTTCCATCGTTTTTGACCCTGCAGTTGGTTCATGAAAATGTATCTTAGAAAATAATCATTTAACAAAATCTACTTTTTCAGAATTTTGTTTCTTTCAGGGCTCTCTGTGAGAACAAAAAGATACCTAGAAATAATTCTAAGTGTCCAAAGGAAGTGATGAGTCACTTGTGGGTAGCAGTAATTGATTTCCATCTAAGGCAGTGTTTTGCTCCTTGTGTTTGTGGATTGTGAATGCCACAAGAGTTTAAATCTTGTCATTCCAGCTAATTCTCACTTTTTAAATACAGGAATTAGAAGGTGACGAGGAGGGAGAAGACGAGGATGATGCGGAAATTAACCCCAAGGTTGGTAACTTTGGGGCCACCCAGACCTACTTATTATGCTGCACTCTTAGACTTTTAAAAATGTTCCCCACTTTGAGGCAGTAGTGTTAACAATATTCATTATTCCCTAATTAGAAAGTTTAAAATGTGTCAGAAAAATAGTGGAATGATTATTCAGACACTGTGTCTATAATTTGAGTGTTGAGTGTACATACTCAGTAGAAGCTTTTCCAGCTGTCTCAAGCTGTGTCTTATTTACATAGACTCCTCAGTAGAGCAACTTGACTTTCCAAGTGTTTCATTCTTTTAAGGTAAGGTAATGATTTAACTGACAACATAAATAAACTTTTCTTTGTGCGTGTTTGGAAAAGGTGCAAAGAAGGGACTTTGGGGCTCTTTTTGTTAAGGAACAGAATAATGGGATTGTGGGCATCATTTGACCCAGTTGCACTTGAGCTGAGCATGCCCAGATGATGTGTCTAGATATCTCATATGTCTCAGATAATTTAAAATAAATTGGAAAGGTTTACTAAAGAAAACTGAGTTGAAAATGAGTGGGCAACCCCATTAATTTTACCTGCAAATTTAGATTTTTATTTGTGGTCTCAGAGTAACTTAAATCAAGGTACTTTGACCATTTGGCACATTTTAAAATCAGAAGTGCTTAAATGTCATCCTACAGCATCATAAGAGTTTCTTCTTGTAAAACATGAAATGTGTAGTTCACTTGCCTCTTAAAATTAAGTATATTATGGGCTGTCAGAATACTAACGTTACCTGGTGTTTTTGTAATGTGTCTCTGTCCGACTAGACGTTTTTTGCTTGTTTTTACCCTTGTTTTTTGGAGTGTGCACTAAAAGCTGTCAGTGTGATATTCTGGCTCTGTCATCAGTTGGTTTAAACTGGCTGTTTCCATGAATGCATGTTCACAGTTGTGGTTCCTTCAAGGAAGGGATGGGAGAAGAGCTTTTAAAACTTTTTTGAGAATGTGTCTTATAAAGACTACTCTGGGAATAATCTGCTCATGGAAATGTTCATCTTCTAAAGTTTGGCCTGTTGATGTGGGAGGACTCTGCTGAAAGCGTACCTGTGCGCAGCACCGTGGTGGTGGGCGGTGAGGGCTGTAGGAGACCAAGGCCTGGGTCTGCCTTGCGTGCATCACAGTGTGCGGACAGGGAAGGTGAGGGCTGTCAGTCAGCCAGTGAACAACGTTGGGTGAATAAATGCTGCCCATCACTGCTGTGCGGGGTGTCTGATGGACCCAAGGGCCACGTGTGTTTATTGGGCTGTGTTTCCGCCTTGTGGGCGCTGAATGGACACTTTTAAGGTTGCAGTTGTAAAGCAAGGACTGGGGTCAATTGGCAGGGCCACCTCCTCAGACTCCGCGCACAGCTGCCTCTGTCCTTGTTGCACTTGTATCTCCCCCTCCCTGTATTCTGTGCCTCAGCTTCTCTTTTCCTCCCCTCTGTTGTTTGTTCTGCTTTCTCTGTCACCTTGGAGAACCTTGAGTCTCCTTTCACGTCCCAGGTTTCTAAAAGAGCATTCTCACCAGCCATTACAGAGAACATGATGTGGTGGATTACACATGCTAACACCCCATGAAACCTTTGATAAACGGTTATGTTGGTTGGGGGAGAAGGGACTAAAAACATGTTCCGGCTAATGGTGTGAATGAAGTTCAGAGACGGCCCGGCATGTGTGGCCAGGATAAGGCCAAGCCTGCTGTCCCTGTCACATGCACCTTCCAGAGAGATGGGCAGTGTTAGAGTCTGTGCAAGCAAAAGAAAACAAGGAAGGAAGGGAGGTTTTAGTATTGGGAGCAGTCTGATAGAAGTGAAAATCATGCTTCTGCCCATTTTGAAAGTATGATCTAGTGTTGAAGTTGTTCACCCCGAGTTCAGTATCTTGCAGCCCTTTTGTATCATGAGAAATTGTGGCCGTTTCCTCCTGTATAATTTTGTGCATTTCATTTTCTTTCATGCTGACAGTTCCTTTCAATTTTTTTCCCCATTTAGGTGTAATTTTTGTCTGTTAATCATTCATACGTTTCTAGGTAAGGTGGAATTCCATTCATACCTAACTTCCAAACTTCTGATCTATACTTTATACAATGCATTGTTTTGACTTTGAATAAAGAGGGAGTTGCTGTCCAGGTACACTCACTGTGTCACAGGTTTGACATAGGTGTCTGTTACATGTACTTTTAAAATCAACGAACCAAACCTAGATTTGGTCCCTGCTTTCTGAGCCCAGTGTTTCTTGCTAACCAAGTAGCAAAGATGTAACTTGGGTGTAATTTTCATTGCTGATGGTACTGCTTTCCAGTAAGAGGGCCCTGGATGGTCAGCAGTCTGCACGGTGGCACACACGGGCCACCATAAGCAAGCAGTCCTTGCAGAGAGCATAACACACTGGGCTGTCCCAGCTGTGCTCAGAACACACACTGGCAGTTGAAATTGGCCCACTGTCATTACCAACACGTGTCTGTTGAATATCTATACTTTTTGAATTCATGTTTTGTGCAGACCAATAGGTACACAGAGGGGTAACAGCTTTTACTGTGCCAGCATTTTTTATCTGAAACATGAACTGGCATCTGTTTTGGTGTCAGCAGTAAAAAGTACTGTTGTGAGGTTGGTGCTAGTTGAATGAAGCAAGAACCAGTTGTAGATGAAAGTGAGTGTCAGTAAGCCTGGAAGCTGTTTCCCACTCCACTTTCTTCAGTCCCTGTAGCTCTGTCCTGTCCTGGAATGCTGACAGGAGGCCGTAAGTAGACAGAGGCTCTTGCCCGTGACGAGACCTGTTCACTCGTGGCACTCGGGATGTAGTGGGAGAAAGCAGAGAGGTGGGGACAAGAGGTGCCATGAGGAACCCCACAACCATAGCAGGGCCTCTGCATGCCAGGATAAGTAGGCACTCCGTTTTTAAGGGTCTCGTCACAGAACATCAGCATGATCCTGGCAGCCCATAGACCAGACGTCCTTGAGGTCTTAGCGCCACCGCCTCCCTGTCTTCCTCATGTAGGCTGCTTTCATGGGAAACTGATGGTACATAGGGCGGATGCAGCTCTTGGAACGATTTTGTTTTCCAGGGCCAGGTTTCAGAATATGGCTGTATGTTTAAAATTATGTCTAGCTGCCATTAATTCCTGTTGTCCCCGCATGTCTGAAGAACTTAGCCACTCTTATTCCACCTGTACCCTCACCCACTCCTCCCACGCCACCCCTCCCATGCCACCAGCTCTTTTGAAGAGAATCCTCGATGCGTGCCACCTATCCGTATTTCAGTATGCCTCCCTGGAAGAGAAGGGCAGGGTGCAACAGCAGCAACCCCCGAGGAGTGTCCCACTGAGGCTGCTGCCTCTTCAGCCATAGGGCTCTGGGCACTTGGGGCTTCTTCGCCAGCGCAGCTATGGTCGAGTGTGTTTCAGCGGCATGTCTTTGTTGCCTTTCTCAGGTCGAGTGTTATCTGTTCAAACCCCACCTTTTAAATGGTCCCATGAGAGATGAGATTTTTTTCCTATTAGTTGGTACCTTTTAAAATGCCAACTCCTCCTCCCTTGATAATCTTAGCATTGATTAATGACTCAACCATCATTAAAATTTGTGACATGAGATAAAGGACGCTTCAGTTTGGGAGTTTAGGTGTAGTTTTTTTTTTTTCGGCATGTGTCACAAGCTAAAAACAATTGGTGTCTCTCACATGTAAAATTCACTTCTAAAACTCCTGTCAGTCACTTGCAGAAGCTCCAGTGTGCTGTGTGAGCACCAAAGCCTGGCAGGGGTGGGCCACATGCTGCCTTCCTTCCCAGAGGGGGCTGTGCCCTCAAGGCACGGGGGAGGCAGCTCTTCCCAGAGTCAGGTGCATGGCCTACTCCCCTCCAGCAAGGCACTGGGTCATGACACCGGTCTTGAGAGAGTGTTCTATGCGGACTCTATTCCCTCTAGCAGTCTTCACCCAGGATATTGGTTTTATTTAGGACAGATGAATACTACATTCTCGTGGTTGAAAATACCTATTACATCATTTCTGCAACTTAGGATAATTTAGATTTATTTCTGGTTGAGCATTCCAAATCTGGAATCCTCCCGTGAGCATTTTCTTTGTCTTGGGTTCCAGATTTTGGAGTATCTCAGATTTGGGATTTGGGATGCTCAATCTGTGGTAGGATAAATTATAAAGTCCTGTGTATGACATGACATAGTATTTGCGTAATTTAAATGTACATAAAGATGGAGTCTGTCACCTTGTCACCAGCCCCAGTCTTCCCCGTCCCTGCACAGCTCCTTTACTGACATCCCATTTTCTAGGCGAGTCCCTTGGTGGAGGCACACTGCTTGTCCCACTCCTCCCCTCACTGCTCCTGCTCGGGGCGCCCTGCATCCCCCACACTCCTAAGGCCAGTGGCTCAGTGTTCTTGGCCACTACACTGGGCCACCTTCAGTCTACCCTTGAATGTCAGATTGACATGGCGAGGGTTTTTGGTCAGCCTCGTTTTGTCTTGGCCAGGCTCTTTGGGCAGCCTCTGGGGTGGCTGAGATTGGGAGCTTAGACACCAGGGTTCAAGGTTATTGATTTTGTTTTTTGCATATTTTACACATATTTTTTCGGCCATCCCTTAAATGTGATTTCCAAAAGAATGAACTGTAGCCTCAGCTTATACTGTGGAAGATATCATTTATGGTAACCCAGGGATCTTTTTGCCCCATACAGTACAAGTTCTTAGGTTCCATAGGCACGCTGGATTAAGGGCAATTTGTAATCTTAGCCAGAAATCATAGGTTACAGGTTCGTAAAGTTACTAGCGCAGAAGCATTAGCAAGATCGTGATGTATTTCTTAGGCTATTGTTGGCCTCCACACAAATTCATGGAGTTGCTGGATGTGGTTTAAAGGGTACAAGATCTCTGTGTTAGATAATATTGGAGTTAATCCATTCCTCTGGGAGGGGAATTTTGTGTCCCGGATGCCGTTACTGGAAGGATAGCATTGCCCCTTGGTGAGACTGTTAGGAGAGTGAAGGAGAGTGAGTGACAGATGGAGCTCTTGGGAGTGGCAGCTCATCATTTGTTGGTGCAGTACAGGCCACCAGAAGAGGATGGATCTGCCGGGGCGCTCCCTGGTAGTACAAAGAGCAGGAACCCGCTAGAGGAGAGATGTGCTTTCCATGAGCGCCAAGGGCCCAGCCTACCCCCAGACAGATGTGCCCTTGAGAAGTGGGGACTGTTGGCACCAAGAGGGGTTGCCTCCGCGGTGGCCTTCCTGGATGGAGCTGCCCGTGTTGAGCGCACTGTGCTCTGTGTGGGCAGGGGTTCCAGCTGCTTCCCAGCCCTTTCATGGGCAGCCCCCTGGAGCTCCACCACCCCAAGGAGCCCCAAAACCCTCCTGCTGAACATGCCATGAATTTGAATGCTTGAAGGCATAGCTTTAAAAACAAAAAAAAACCCTGCTTTGACTGCAGGGTGGTAGGGGGAGTTAGCTTTGTTTTTGTCACTATTTTTAAAAGTATATTTGCAGTAACCATTTTTTTCAATGAGAATGAACTCATTCAGTCTTGGCTTTCATTGTTGATTGGAGCTAATTGGTGAATGGAGCTGGCTTTGCTCTCTACAAGCCTTGTCTTTTTCATTGACAGAAGGAACCCAGCCAGCCGGCGGAATGCAAGCAGCAGTAGGAAGCGGAGGCGGGTGCCTGGCAGACCGGCTGTCGGGACTCCAGGCCTGTGGGCGGGGCCTCGGTCCTTGCCGCAGCACAATCCCGTGGACAGAGCTTACTCCATCTAACTCGTTTTCAAGTGCATGATTTTCACTTTCACTTTTCCTTTTTCCTTATTATTTTGCTTAACTTGTACAGTGGCAACTGAAATGCATTTCAGAAATAGGAGGTTTCGTCCAGCACCCTCTGCAGCCTTGGTGCCTGTAGCTCTGGACTTCCCTGGGCCTTTCCCTGTGGGAGGGCCCTGTAGACCACATCAGGGTGGGGTGGGGGTCACTTGGCAAAAAGGGCCGAGGTCTGGTGATGTGGTTCCCAGGATCTGGAACCTCTCCCACCCCTCCTGCAGTTGGACTGAATTCTTCCCTTTCATCCGAAGAAACCCACTTGCTGTTTCCAGCCGCTGAATCTGCTGAGTGTGCAGCCTGCATCACCTGCTGTATGCCGATCATCTCAGAAAGGGCTGTGTAGAGTAGGGCCCTGTTCTCCTTAGGATGTTGCTTCTTCATTTTTTTTTTTTTTTAGGGGTGGGTCAGGGTTGTGACACACCAGCCCAGGTGAGAGCTGCTGCGGGTCACCTCATATTTATTTATCCCTTCTTGCCTGTGAGGACTGCGGCTTTTCGCTGTGGCTCGTCCTTAACGTTTCTGAACCACCTTGGTGCCCTGAGCAGGAAGATGTGCCACTTCCTAGCAGGCGCAAGGCCTGTGCGGAAGAAACGCCGCTCCCTGCCACCAGGGCTGAAGATGCGAGCCCGTCCTCATGACGCAGGCGCCACCCTGCTGCCGGAGCCGGGCTTCGGCAGTCTTCTCCACTGAGGGACTGGGCTGGGAAGTCCTGCGTTTCAGTGGAGCGTATGAGCGTCAAGTCCTGCTTTCTCAGTAGCCCCATTGCGGGGCCCCACCATTCATCCTGTCTGAAGGTCCTGGGTTTGGTGTGACCGCTTGGCGGCTGGTGGGTGGGGTTTTCAAGTGGGTGACGGCGCTCTCCGGCAGCCGGGGATGGCCGTGTCCGCACTGACCAGGCCTGTGGAGAGTGCTCGGCCTAACCTTAGAACACATTTGTAACTGAATACAGTGTTTTCAATTTGTACAGAATAGTTAGAATATTCTATTAAAGTGGTGAAACATTGAGTCAGCACTGTGCCATGTGGGTCTTTGCAGGGGAATGTGGTGGGGAAGGCTCAGATGTGCTGCACACCTGTTGGGCTCTGTTGAGCCCTGGGTATTGGTGGCTCCAAGACCGGTTGTACAGTTTACTTCTGAGGCCTTGAAAGCTCAGTTTGAGGCAGAGGCTGCTGTAGCCCCCCCACTACACCTAAGTTGCTGCTGTATGCAGGCAGCTTCACTGCGGGCCCAGGGGAAGACTGTTCCTGCCCCCAGGAGGGGATCATTTCTCAGAGTTAGTGGGACTGTGCTTTGTAGATCCAGAAGGCTCCAAGAGGAGAACTTCCTGATAAAGCCCATGTTAGGTGTGTTTGCTCTCTGAAGCTTTTCCCCGTGTCTCTTCCATCCACAATGAGAGGAGGCACTCAACACCTGCTGCACCGGCACTTCCTGACCTGACCGTGGGAATCCCAGCCTTGGCAGCGCCGCCTGGTGAATGAAACGCTGTCATGAGAAGGCAGCCGTGGAGCTGGCTCATTGCTCCCCACGTGGCTGGCCCCGCCCTGCTGCCTCCAGCTCACCCGTGGGCTGCCTTCTCTCTGGGAGCAGCAGGAAGGGCAGGTGCAGGCTGGGAAGTGAATGCTTGCAGCATACCCCCAAGGGCCGGGGAGCCTGATGTCTGTGCTTCCTGCACCCGTTCCTCCGTCCCCATCCTGTGAAGTACCTGGGGGAGCTTGGTCTCAGGCTCCCCAGCCTCAGGGTGGCCCCATGGGTGAGCAGCACCCTGGCCTTACTTGGTCTGCCCAGGGTCAGACCCCATAATCCAAGGGGCATATGCTGTTTTGCAGTGACCCGCCCTTCAGCTGCGGAGACAGCCCTGCACACTGCCCTGTCCACTGGGTGCCCAGAGTGCCTTTTTAGGAAGGGCTCCACAGGCTTGGGGAGTGCCCCTCACTACCTAGCTGGGTGGTTTTAGATCAGATTTGCACTTTTCGATCAGATTTGCACAAGCAGGGGAAAGGGCTTAACATTGTGGCTTCTGGGGGTGGGGGTATCTGGATTTTCCCTTTTGAGTAAGAAGTGTGTGAGAACCCTGCACCCACCTGCGTGCATCCTTCACTGAGCTGGGTTCCTGTGTCCCCCAGTGAGTCTGACCTTGGGAGTGCATGGTTCGTGGATGCTGCCCAGTTCCAAGGACATCTGGGTGCAGGACCTCAACGTGAAGCCTGGGGAGCTGTGGAGGCCCGAGGGTGCAGGCAACCTGGTCTCCCCCAGGACCTCAGCACCTCCGGCCTCTGTCACCCCTGCATGGCCGCCGTGTCCTGCCTGCACCCCAGGGTCTCAGAAAAGGGAAGGTCATTCTCCAGTGGCCAAGGAGCCCAGGAACCATCCCAGGCCCAGGCCATTGTCAGCTCAGGAACCTCAGCCATCAGTGGTCACCGAAAGTCGCTGAGTGGTTGAGAGGTTTGCCCAGAGCCACCATCTGGAAGGCAGCTGGGAAGTGGGGGCTTGTGGCGGCCGCCCAGCCTGGCCTGGGTGAAGGGTGGCTGCTTCCCTTCTGGTCCTGGAGGCCAGGGGGTCTGCCACAGAACCTCAGCTCTGCTAGCCCAGGCCCTCCTTTTTCCCGACTCAGCCCCTGGCTGGGGAGGCAGACATTCACCGTCCAGCCCCGCCCCACCCACCCCACCCCGCTTGGGGCTCCCCCAGCCCCTGCCCTTCCTGTGACTGTTCACCCTGTGCGGGAACTGAGACTCAAAACCAGTGGCGCTGGGGTCAGGGCAGGAGTTTGGGGAGCAGCCCGGGAGATGGGAGGTGGGGCCTGGGGCACCCCCACCCCCTGCACAGGTGGCTCAGACGCTTCTGTCAGCTGCCATCACACGGGTGCTCCTGGGCAAGGAGGGAAAGAACCCGCACGGCAAGCAGCCAGGCACAGAAGACCTGGAGGGCCCTGTTTCTGTCCGGTTCTAGAGCCTGCAAAGCTATAGTGCCGGTGACTGCCTGGGAGGGATCTGGGGTGGGGGGATTGACCAAGGAACGCTTTAGAGGGATGGAAGTGGTTACACAGGTGTATACGTCTGTCAAAATTCATTGAGTTACATCAAAAATGGGTATATTTGGTTGTATATAAGTTAGTCCTCAATGAAGCTCAGCGTTGTTTTTTTTTTTGAGACGGAGACTCGCTCCATTGCCCAGCCTGGAGTGCAGTGACACCATCTCGGCTCACTGCAACCTCCACCTCCCAGGTTCAAGCGATTCTCCTGCCCAGTCTCCCAAGTAGTTGGGATGACAGGCATGCACCACTGCACCTGGCTAATTTTTGTATTTTTAGTAGAGATGGGGTTTCACCATGTTGGCCAGGCTGGTCTCGAACTCCTGACCTCAGGTGAACTACCCACCTTGGCCTCCCAAAGTGCTGGGATTACACGTGTGAGCCACCGTGCCTGGCCTGAAGCTCAGTTTTCAGAAGTCCCCAAAACAGGGTGATTCCACTTAAAATTCTGTTTTTTCCCTTGAGTCAGGAGCTATGGCTCCCTAGAACCTGATGGCTGCTGCTTTCCCCAGCAGGGTCACCTGGGACCCTTGTCCACAGCTGCCTGGCGTGTGGGTCCGCGGGTGGTGTGTACCCCAGGTCAGCCTACCTGGCCAGTCTGCTCTCTAGGCTCATGACTCCTGTTTATGTGGAGCTGGGACCAAGCCGACATCCCACTCTGCTCCTGTCCTGCTGCCCAGCAAACCTCCCCAGGCCCAAGGGCCACCCATGGGGCCAGAGCCCCCTTCCCCAAGTCCCAGGTCCAGGGCTTCCTGCCACCCCACCCATCTTGTCCCACTCTCAAAATGCCCTAGGCTGCCCCCAGCCCCATCACTGGGCAGGCTGAGTCAGCATGAGCTGCCAGGATCCAAGCTTGCCCCTGAGGTGGGAGGCAGGGGTGGGGTGGGTAGGGGGCAGCCAGCTGGCTCCACCAGCCAGCCAGGTGGGTAGGTGGAGCCCCTGGCCTCTGCCTGGCTCATCCAGGCACACCTTGATATTACTGACCTCTGACCTGCCCCTGCTGGGTCCTTGGCTTGCCTGGCTCTGAGTCAGGGCTCAGGGCTGGGCAACTGGTGAGCAACAGAGGAACAGCCAGGGGCAGCGGTGGGAGAAGTGACCGTCCCAGACTCAGCCAACTCCAGCTGCAGTGCCCTGAGGGAGCCCTGGGCCTGCAGAAGGGGTTGCTGTGTGCAGAAGCCTGTGGCTCCCTGCCAGCCAGGCCAGCCTGGCCACAGCCTGGCATGGACTTCGGCCTCTGCCCCAAAACCCTCAGAACAGGTGCCTTCCCAGGTTCCTTCTGCTGGAGCAGGCACCTCCTCCCCAGCCCGCCCCAGGGAGCATCCCCATGTGGAGTGGGGGGCCCAAGGGACCCCAGGCCCAGCTGTTTGGACCCCACCCACCAGGAGACACTGGCAAGCAGTGGCCCCCAACAGCAGGGCCTCCTGGAAGGACGCCTCCTCAGGCTGGCCCTGGCTGAGCTTCTGATGCGCTGAATTTGGCGTGGGTTTCCAGGCACCTCATGCGCCTGGGACGTTCCCCATTTAAGAGATGCAGACCCGAGTCTCAGGACAGAAGCCAGGGCCCAGCTCTTGCAGGGTGAGGCCTGGACGCCTCTTGCCGAGGCCAGGTCACCTTGGTGTGCCTGAGGGAGGCCCCACCTGCTAGGCTGTCCCCAAGGTGCCAATCACTAGCCCATCCTGGCCATGCTGACTCATGGCTTTCTGAGGGTGGCAGCCGGATGTTACTTACCATGACAACCCAACAGCCTGGCCCAGCCCAGCCCAGCCCAGGAGAAACGGGGCAGCTACAGCTGTGTCCAGGACCCCACTCAGGGCGGACCCACACAGATCACCCTTGTCGAGCTCCTCAAGAAGTCTGTGGTGTCCACCAAGTTTCCAAATCTCCCTAGGTCTCAGTTTCTGTATCTGGGACATGGGGAGAAGCTTCACCTCCTCAGAACCCAGACCCTGGGCATGGCAGGGCTGCCCACACCGGCCCTCACCAGTGCCTGCCTGGCTGGAAGCCAGTCCGAGGAGGGAGGACAGTGCCTCACTGAGCAAGGCGGGTGCAGGGCTGGGAGGACAAGAGGGAACGCCTGGAGATGGGGCCTCAGGTGCAGGCACTGGCCAGAGTTGCTAGAGTCTGCTGCCCCCAGCCTGGGGGCTGCCAGCGAGGGCCTGAAGTGGTCCCTGGGTCTCAACCTGCCCCTTTTCAGCAGGGGCTGCCCTCCCCAAGGACCAGAACACCAGACCTTATGTGGGGACCCTTCCTCGTCATCTGGGGGCTCCAGGCATTCCTTGGCTTGCAGCCACTTCCCTCCGATTTCTGCCTCTGTCTCACGTGGCCTCCTACCCCTATGCCTGCTTCTCCATAGTTCTCCCTTGTGAGGCCCACCTGGGTAGTCCAGGGGAAGCTCCTGCTCTCAGGGGCCTTTCCTATATCACACCCTAGCCACTAAGGTCATGTTCACCCATTTGCCATCAAAGGTAACATTCGTGGGTTTCAGGGAGTAGAACATGGATATGTCTTATTGGGGGCCACCATTCAGTCCCTGAAAGGGGTCTTTCAAACAGACCAAAGCACATGAAGAGGGGAAAAGACAGCCACGCCAAAGGCCACAGACACCCAGAGAGATGGCTGCCCCCACCCCAGGGATAGAGAAATGTGTGTGAAGACCTCAGTTTTTGACCACCAGATTGTGGGGTTTTGTTGTTGTTGTTGTTGTTGTTTTGTTCGTTTGTTTGGTTGTTTGGTTTTTCCTGAGACAGGGTCTCACTCTATGGCCCAGGCTGGAGTGCAGTGGCACTTTCTCAGCTCACTGCAACCTCTACCTCCCAGGGTGAAGCAATTCTTCTGCCCCAGCCTCCCGAGTAGCTGGGATTACAGGTGCATGCCACTGCACTAGGGTAATTTTTTCTATTCTTAGTAGAGACAGGGTTTCACCATGTGGGCCAGGCTGGTCTCAAACTCCTGAACCCAAGTGATCCACTCACCTTGACCTCCCAAAGTGTTGGATTACAGGCGTGAGCTATTGCCCAGATTGACTTTTTTTTTTTAAGTACAGAGTGCCCACCATTGGCCTAGCCATGGGGAGATTGGCATTGCAGCCCTTGGGGGAAAGGGTGAATAGGAACAGCCCCACTGGCAGGCCATTTTGGCAGTTACCACACATCTGAGGGCCTTGCTAGCCCAGCAGTGCCATGTCTGGTGTGCAGGAAGGCAGTGCCATGTAAGATGACAGCAACAGGGACCCAGCCCAAACCCAACCATCACAAGGGGTGGCTGAGACATGGAGGATTCCAGATAATGAGGGCTGGGGTGGGGGGTTCCTGGAAGATGGCCCAGACACAGGAAGAGACACAAGCTCATACCCCCGCCTGCATGGATATTCATATGTAAATGCATTTTTAAAACTGGTAAAGGGTACATCACAAGTTACATTCTTAACCATTTTTTAAAGTGCACAGTTCAGTGCCACTAAGCATAGTTACACTAAGCATATTCACACAGCATATTCACACTAAGCGTATTCACAGCGTATTCACACTAAGCATATTCACACCGAGCATATTCACACCGAGCATATTCACACTAAGCGTATTCACACTAAGCATTTTCACACTGAGCATATTCACACAAAGCATATTCACACAAAGCATATTCACACCGAGCATATTACAAGCATATTCACACCAAGCATATTCACACCGAGCATATTCACACTAAGCGTATTCACACTAAGCATTTTCACACTGAGCATATTTACACCGAGCATATTACAAGCATATTCACACCACACCGAGCATATTCACACCGAGCATATTCACACTAAGCGTATTCACAGCGTATTCACACTAAGCATATTCACACCGAGCATATTCACACTAAGCGTATTCACACTGTGTATTCACACTAAGCATTTTCACACTGAGCATATTCACACAGCATATTCACACAAAGCATATTCACACCGAGCATATTACAAGCATATTCACACCAAGCATATTCACACCGAGCATATTCACACCAAGCATATTCACACTAAGCGTATTCACACTAAGCATTTTCACACTGAGCATATTCACACAGCATATTCACACAAAGCATATTCACACCGAGCATATTACAAGCATATTCACACCAAGCATATTCACACCAAGCATATTCACACCGAGCATATTCACACCAAGCATATTCACACTAAGCGTATTCACACTAAGCATTTTCACACTGAGCATATTCACACCGAGCATATTACAAGCATATTCACACCAAGCATATTCACACCGAGCATATTCACACCAAGCATATTCACACTAAGCGTATTCACACTAAGCATTTTCACACTGAGCATATTCACACAGCATATTCACACAAAGCATATTCACACCGAGCATATTACAAGCATATTCACACCAAGCATATTCACACCAAGCATATTCACACCGAGCATATTCACACCAAGCATATTCACACTAAGCGTATTCACACTAAGCATTTTCACACTGAGCATATTCACACCGAGCATATTACAAGCATATTCACACCACACCGAGCATATTCACACCGAGCATATTCACACCGAGCGTATTCACACTAAGCGTATTCACACTGAGCGTATTCACACCGAGCATATTCACACCGAGCGTATTCACACTAAGCGTATTCACACTAAGCATTTTCACACAAAGCATATTCACACCGAGCATATTACAAGCATATTCACACCACACCGAGCATATTCACACCGAGCATATTCACACCGAGCGTATTCACACTGAGCGTATTCACACTAAGCATTTTCACACAAAGCATATTCACACAAAGCATATTCACACCGAGCATATTACAAGCATATTCACACCAAGCGTATTCACACCAAGCGTATTCACACTGAGCATTTTCACACAGCATATTCACACCGAGCATATTCACACCGAGCGTATTCACACCGAGCGTATTCACACCGAGCATATTCACACTGAGCATATTCACACTGAGCATATTCACACCGAGCATACTCAGCATATTCACACTGAGCGTATTCACACTGAGTATATTCACACTAAGCATATTCACACTGTCATGCAGCCGCCATCAGCATCTGCCTCCATGATTTCTCATCTCCCCAAATGGAAACTGTGTCCCTATTAAACTCCCCATTGTCCTCTCCAGCTCCTGGCACCTGCCCTCCTACCTTCTGTCTCTGAATCTGACGACTCTTGGGACCTGGTACGTGTGGAATCATTCAGTACTTGTCTTTTTGTGTCTGGCTTATTTCACTCAGCATAGTGTCCTCAGAGTCCATCCGTGCTGTAGCTTGTGTTAGAATTCCCTTCCTTTTTTTTTTTTTTTTTTTTTTTTTTTGAGATGGAGTTTCACTCTTGTTGCCCAGGCTGGAGTGCAATGGTGCAATCTCAGGTCACTGCAACCTCCACCTCCCAGGTTCAAGCAATTCTCCTGCCTCAGCCTGCTGAGTAGCTGGGATTACAGGTGTGCACCACCATGCCCGGCTAATTTTTTTTTTTTTTTTTTTTTTTTTTTTTTTGCATTTTTAGTAAAAACGGGGTTTCACCATGTTGGCCAGGCTGGTCTCCAACTCCTGACTGCAAGTGATCTGCCTGCCTTGGCCTCCCAAAGTGCTGGGATTACAGGCGCGAGCCACTGTGCCCAGCATCAATTCTGAAATAATTCGAGCCTCTTTTTTACTTTTTATATCAACAATTGGTTAATATTTTTGGTAGGCGTGTTTTTTTTTTTTTTGAGATGGAGTCTCGCTCTGTCACCCAGGCTGGAGTGCAGTGGCACGATCTCGGTTCACTGCAAGCTCTGCCTCCCGGGTTCACGCCATTCTCCTGTCTCAGCCTCCCGAGTAGCTGGGACTACAGGTGCTGGCCACCACACCCGGCTAATTTTTTGTATTTTTAGTAGAGACGGGGTTTCACTGCGGTGTTGATCTCCTGACCTTGTGATCCACCCGCCTCGGCCTCCCAAAGTGCTGGGATTACAAGCGTGAGCCACCGCGCCTGGACTTTTTTTTTTTTTTTTTTTTTTTTAAAGAAATGGAGTCTTGCTGTCTTGCCCAGGCTGGTCTTGAACTCCTGTTTTCAAGTAATCCTCCCACTTGGTCCTCCCAAAGCAGCCCTGGATTACTGGCACAAGTCACAGCACCTGGCCTATCTTTGGTAATTTTTTAACGTTGGAAATAATTAATGACAATACACCTGCCAGGGCTCCCCCAGACCGGCGGAATGAGAAGTTCAGGCCAGGAGGGTGAGCATCTGCGCTGTGAGAAGGCTGCCCCAGCGATTCTGCAATCTGAGCCCTGTGCAGGGCATGGGGCCACCTCAGTCCTCCCTCTCTCCCTTCCTGTATTTTGTTTGTTCCTTTGTTCATTGGTTCACTCCTTCAAGCTTCTGGAGACATCCCCACGAGCCAGGTGCAGGGCGGTCATGTTGGCTGCTCTTGTTTTCCATCTGCGAGTGACTGCTGGGAGGGCCCTTTCCTGAGCTCCCTGTGTCCTGGCCCCATCTCCCAACCTCTGGAGGCTCCATAACCACCCACAAGCAGCCCTGTGGAGGTGACACCAGCCTGATGGAGCCCGACGGAGGCCCCACTCTGCCCCACGGGGCCCCCTCATCTTGGCACGCCTGACTGCCAGTCTCACCCGAGGCAGCAAGGGGCTGTCTGGTCTCATACACACGCCAACAGTCTGCACGTTCAGTAGTCAGTGCAGAGGGGGTCTTTTGGACAATGACGTGGATGCCTTTATTTTTTGAGACAGGGTCTTGCTCTGTCACCCAGGCTGCAGTGCAGTGGAGTAATCACGGCTCACTGCAGCCTCGACCGCCTGGGCTGAAGTGATCCTCCCAACTCAGCCTCCCAAGTAGTTGGGACTATAGTGCACATGCCACCATGCCTGGCTAATTTTTATTTTTTTTTTGTAGAGATGGGGGGGTCTTGCTGTGTTGTCCAGGCTGGTCTCAAACTTCTGGGCTCAAGCAATCTGCTCACCTCGGCCTCCCAACTTGCTGGGATCATAGGCGTCAGCCACCGAGCCCGGCCTCAGGATGCTTTTTTAGCCATTTCCTGAGTGCCTGGGCTGATCCCTGGGGCTCCCAAAGAATAAAACATTATCACTGCATTTAAGGAGCTGATAATAGCTTCTGAGCAGGGTACTGAGGGATAAACAGGAGCTCATCAGGGGCCAAGGAGAAGGGTGTTCCTGGTTTCTCAATCAATCCCCAACATCTTGTGAGGTAGGACCTGCCTGTCAGGCTCCAGTGGAAGAGCTCAGGAAGAGACACAGCAACAGAGAACACAGCCCTCCAAGGCCAAGATCAGGCTGACAGCAAGTGTCTGAAAACCAGGTGGGTCATGCCACGGGGCCTCTCACTTTCCTCAGGCTGCAGCTGGGAGGAGACAGATAGAGGGCAAGCCTGAGTCACAGGCCCTGGCACATGGGCCATGTTGGGCTCAGGTGAGGTGGCACCAGTGCACTGCTCAGGTGCTGCAGCTCCAGGCAGCTTAGGTCTTCCCCCAGCCTCCCCAGGCTCAGGTGGGCGGAGGCTTGGAGACCCATGGCCTAGCAGTATGTGGTTGGCAGGAGGCAGGCCTTAGAGTGCGCCCTGGCAATCTGAGAGGGCTTCCTGGAGGGGGTGAGAGGAGCTAGGGGTGGGCCTTCCTGACTGAGGAGCAGTGGGCCTTTCTGCAGGGCTCTCTCTGAGCAACCCCTCCCACAAGAGGGTGGTGTCAAGCCCCAGGCACTGGGCCGGGCCCTGTGACACGCAGCTTCCTCACAGGCTGGCAGGATGGCCAGGCTCGTTGGGCAAGTGCCTGGAGGGCCCGGCCTCGTCACCGTAAGGAAGTGACCTCACTCAGGGAGTTTCGGAGAGGTGCCCGCATCCTACTCCAGCTGCTGACAGCCTCACACAGCTGGGCTCCGGTGCCAAGGGTCCAGGCAGCTGGACAGGGCAGCCAGTGTCCCAGGCCAGATGTTTGGGCACCCAGACTGTACAATGCCTGCCCGGGGGTGGGGGCCCTTGGCTCAGGCTCTGCATGAATCCTGGATGTGGCCCCTCAGATAAATATCAGTAAACCCGGTTTGGACTGATGCTGCCTGACACCACCAACTCGAGGCAGAGCCCCCTCCCCATCCTGAGAAGCAGTCACAGAACATCAGGGCTGTTTCCTGCCCCGAGCCACAGGGTGCCACAGAATCGGGGAAGCTGTGGATGTGGCCGCACTGGCCACTGTGTAACCTGGGTGAGTCACCACCTCTCTGAAACCCCCACCCAGTGTTCCCTGCAAACCCAAGAAAGCAGTCTCAACAGGGAGAAATGACCGCACAGAACTAGCACGGGGCAGGGCCACACGGACTCTCCTGCCGGTGCCTGGCCCTGGCATCTCTCCGGCAGGTGGTTCCTCCGCCTCCAGCACGTGAGTGGTCCAGAACCCTCGTAGAAGCAGGTCCCATGGGGTGTGGCCGAATCCACGCCGGGTTCCAATCTCTGTGCTGTGCTGGAGAAGCTCCCAGGCTCTTGGCTATCAAATGGCTCTAGGAAGGGCATTCCTCAAAAGACCCTCATGTGGGGTCCCTGTGTCAGCACTCTTCTGCCTCAACATCCCTCCCCCACATCCCAGGAAGTGAGTGTCACAGCCCTCATCCTCCAGAGGGGACCCTCAGGCAGGCCTGCTCTGGGGGATAGAGATAGGGTCCCTCCTTGGAAAGGTGACCTTGACAAGTCACTGCACCTCTCTGAGCCACCCTTTCTGCATCTGCAGCTTGGGGCCAGTGCTGCTCCTGGGGGCACCGCTCAGCCCCAGGTGGGACCAGGTGAGGCGGTGAGGCTCAGGCCTCAGGCAAGGGAGGCCGAGCGGGGGCTGGCAGAGGGCGGGTGGCTCAGAGGGGCAGACGGCAGTGTGAGTTAGTGGTGGTGGTAAAGCCCCTCGGGTGGATGGTGGACGCAGAGAGGATGGGGCAGCCCCTGTGTGCAAGTACCTGCCAAGTTGGCATGGTGTCCTCCAAGCCCCTCTCACCTCCTAAGGCCGTGGTTTATTTTTGCCCATGTCCATAAAGACACCCTGGGGGCTCCTGAAGTCACCTGCTGGTCCAGGGCTGGTAAGGCTTGGGAGTCTGCTCCCTCCAGCCCCCACATTGGCAACCAGGTTCAGGCTGGTTTGGCCGAGCAGGGGCCCAGGGTGTCTAGCAGCTGCTGGGGAGGCCAGGGCCACTACAACTGAGCCCCTGGGGCAGGGACTGTGGGCAGAGAAGCTGCCTGGGGAGGCCTGGCCTCCAGGGCTCAGACCTGATTTCCAGCAGCCCCTAAAGGGCCATCCACCCCCATACCCCCCAGGTCTTCACAGTGTCCATGAGGGGAATAGCAGAGAGGGGCTGAGTGGGCAGGAAATCCCCTAGGGAGGGCAGGGCCTCTGAATCTCGGCTGCACACCCTGCCCCCTGGCCTCCCAGCTCCTGCCCCACCTGTCAGAGCATCACCCCTGGGTTGTAAGTCCTGCCCCCAGGGGAGTGAGTTTCCCAGCCTCCCTTGAGAGGGCCACTGGGGTACAGGCAAAGAGAGGAGCTGGGCGGGGCTGGGGGAGCACACCTCACCTGGCCTCACCTGGTTTCCAAACCCTCTTCCTCCCCCTCATTTCTCTCAGCCCCTTATCTGCTCCTGCCTGTTCTCTGTCCCTTCCCCAAGGCCCTCTCCATCCTGAACCAGTTTCCTCTTCTGTGGAACAGGGGCTGGAGTGCCCACTTTGGGGAGTTCTCTGGGTTAGGTGGAGGCTGGGCACAGTGGTGGCATACGGGCACCACTGGCCCTTCAAGGTCTCCTTGGAATCTTCGAGGGCACGCCCTCCCCACAGAGTCCTCCAAGCTGTCCTCCTGGCCTCCAGTACCCCCGACCCCTATCCCCATCCTCATGTACCTGCTGTGCCCCTGGGGTTTAGAGGGATTCCTCTCCCCTCCTCTGGGGTCCCAGCACCAGCCAGGCCTGCAGGCACACAGTAGGTGCTTAAGCAACCACGAGTGTCGGGGGATTTGCCTGGAGCCGAAGTTCCACTGGCTGGCCCCTCAATGGGGTAGGCAGGCTGGTGGGCCTGGAAGTGTTCCAGGCACCTGTGGGCTGGCGCAGAGACAGAGCGCTCTGCCCCCGGCCTCTTCTCCTGGTCTCCCACTGCCCAGAGGTGCCTCTTGCCCAGGTCCCACTGTCCGGCAGCCCAGGGCCCTCTGGAAGCAAAAGAAGGGACACCAGAGTCCGAATCCTTCCTGCAGCCTCTCCGGAACAATGCTCGAATCCCCTCTCCCCGCCAAAGGCTGACCTCCCCTCACCCACCCACCCTACCTGCTGCTCCCTCACCACAGGATCCCAGCCCTGCTGCAAGGACAGGTGTCAGGTAGGGGGCAGTGTTGACCCGCCGGCCCCAGGCAGGTGTCTCACTCCCAGGCCAGAACCCTGGCACAGCCCAACCCTGCCCTCTGCCGGCACTGCCCCTCCACACCACATCCCTGCCCACTGCCAGGTCCTCTGGCCACACCGGTGGGACCACCGGGCAGCTGCTACCTGCATGCCATTCACAGAACCGGGTCTGGGGCGCTCCTCTGAGCCGGACGTCTCTTTATCCTTTACAGTGACCCTGAAGGGCAGGTGGAGGTAGGGCTGGTCCCAGGTCTGGGTTTTACGCTCTGCTGCCACTGTCTTGACATTTTAAATACATTTTGAATCAGGGGACTCTCGTTTTCATTTTGCGTGAGCCCCGTCATTGAGGCCAATTCTGACCCCAGAGTTGGGACTTCCTGCTGTAACCACCCCAGGGCGCATCTAGGGGGCAGGGGTGCGGGAAGGTGGGAGACGTGGAGTAGTAGCCGGGGTCTCTGGGGTCCTCTCGGCCGGCTCCACCCCCACCCCTGGGAACCCGGGAAGAGCCGGCTTTCGCTTCCTGTCTATTAAACCCTTTAAAGGAAGAAGGTAAATAAAACCGCCCGTCTGCCCAGCTGGAAAGCGATGACTCAGCCGCCCCCGCCGACCCTCGCCCCCAGGCTGATCCCAGAGAGCGGGCGTCGCGGCCCAGCCCGAACCCCTCAGCTCCTGGGACCTCTCTCCGGTCCGGGTCGTGGGGGCGCGGTCGGAGCAGTCCGTACCCCAGTTCGGGACACTACGAGGGCGCAGGGAGGAGAACGGGCTTCCTCTTCCCCTTCCATTTTCTGAGCTCTATGGGTTGCTGGTCTAGCCCTTTCCACGTGTTCCCTAATCCAGCAAAGGTTACTGTTCCCATTTCACAGAAGCGAAAACCGAGGCTAAGAGAGGTGGTCGTTCTTGGCGCAGCCCGTGGGTGGCAAGATAGGAGCTCGGTCCGCTAGGGCAGGGCCACTTTCGGAGAAGGTCTCTGGGCGGCCCTGGGAAAGGCCCCCCAACAGGACGGAACGGCCAGGGCTCGGGAGTAAGGAAGGGGGCCTCGACCCTCCTTCTGCCCCGGGAGCCCGAGAGCGGCAGGGCTGGACTTGGGGCGCCTGGAGGGTGAAGGTCTGGTCCCGGCTGTCTCCCCACGGTGGGCCCGCCCCCGGCCCTCCGGTGCTTCCCGGGGCTCCCCGGCGTGAGTCATCGCGGGCAGGGCTGGCTGCAGCGCATTCTTCCGCGGGGCCGGCCTGCGAGACGGTGCGGGCGAGCGCCCGGGCGGGGCGGGACCTCGAGTCACCCCACGGGGCCGGACAGCTGGGGCACGGGGGGCAAGAGGAGCGCGGGCTTTTGAGATGGGAGGGGACGGCCGGGGACCGACCAGAGCGCGGACGCGACGGTGCGGGCCCGGACGGCTGGGCTTGGGGAGGGTATGGCCCGGGGCGCGCGGGGCTCAGGCGGGCGGGGTGGCCCGAGGGCCGGGGCGGGGCGGGGAGGGGCGGGGCGGGGAGGGGCAGCTATAAAGGCCGCGCCGGGGCCACGAGGAGCAGAGCCGGCGCCGTCACCGCCCGCATTGCCGCTCCCAGTCCCGCGCTCGGCACGACATGAAATCCCCCGACGAGGTGCTACGCGAGGGCGAGTTGGAGAAGCGCAGCGACAGCCTCTTCCAGCTATGGAAGAAGAAGCGCGGGGTGCTCACCTCCGACCGCCTGAGCCTGTTCCCCGCCAGCCCCCGCGCGCGCCCCAAGGAGCTGCGCTTCCACTCCATCCTCAAGGTGGACTGCGTGGAGCGCACGGGCAAGTACGTGTACTTCACCATCGTCACCACCGACCACAAGGAGATCGACTTCCGCTGCGCGGGCGAGAGCTGCTGGAACGCGGCCATCGCGCTGGCGCTCATCGATTTCCAGAACCGCCGCGCCCTGCAGGACTTTCGCAGCCGCCAGGAACGCACCGCACCCGCCGCACCCGCCGAGGACGCCGTGGCTGCCGCGGCCGCCGCACCCTCCGAGCCCTCGGAGCCCTCCAGGCCATCCCCGCAGCCCAAACCCCGCACGCCATGAGCCCGCCGCGGTGAGTGACTGCCCGCGTCCCGGCGAGCCCTGCGCCCTAACAGCCGGGACCGGGGCCTTTGGGAAAAACCACTTCAACCCCAGACGGCGGGGCGGGGGCGCTGCACCTCCTTGGGGGACCCGGCGCCCCGCAATCGCGCTGGCCCCCTCGCGTCAGGGTCTCGGGGCCCCTCAGGCTGGACCCGGACCGGCCCTGGCACAGCTCTCTGACCCAGTCCTTTCCCCACAGGGCCATACGCTGGACGAGTCGGACCGAGGCTAGGACGTGGCCGGCGCTCTCCAGCCCTGCAGCAGAAGAACTTCCCGTGCGCGCGGATCCTCGCTCCGTTGCACGGGCGCCTTAAGTTATTGGACTATCTAATATCTATGTATTTATTTCGCTGGTTCTTTGTAGTCACATATTTTATAGTCTTAATATCTTGTTTTTGCATCACTGTGCCCATTGCAAATAAATCACTTGGCCAGTTTGCTTTTCTACCATCCGGCTGTGGCTCAGTGAGACTCCTGCTGGGAGGGTGGAGGCCCAGGAATGGGCGGGCAGGACACCCTCATCCAGTCCTGCGGGGCTGGTGTGAAAGGCGCTGGGAACCGGCTTTGAATGAATAAATGAATCGTGTCATCTGCTGGGCCTGGTCCACACCCTCTTTTCCAAGCAGCCTCCCCAGAGGCCAGGAAGTGCCCTGGGGCTTGACCCTGGCTACCTTCTGCTCCTTGGTGTGTCCTGAGGAATTGAACCTGGGGAGGACAAGGGCCCTGGGTCCGAGCTGCTGCTGCCTGTGGTGGGGGAACCTTCCCCAGCAGCACTTCCTGCCCACAAACCACCCGCGCAGTCAGACCAGAAGGAATCCCTCAGCCCTCTGGCTGCCCGCCGCCAGCCGCTCCTTGCCAGTGCCCGCAGTGTGGGGCGGGCAGGGTCGCCTTTGCTTCTGGGGGAACAGGAGAGAGTTCTGGGCTGTCTCCGATGGTGGGGCAGGAGGCAGAGGTCCCTGCACCTCCAGGTACTGGCCCAGGACATTGGGGTGGAGAGGCCTGAGTGCAGCAAATCCCTGCCCCTCTTTCTGAGATAGCTGACCACGGCTTTCTGCCCTCCGGTCTGGCTGTGCTCTTTGAAAGACAGGGATGGTCTGAGACAGTTAGGGTTCAGGAAGTGTGTCCCCCACCCAGAAGGGCTCCTGGTGATGAACAAGCTGAGGAGGTGATAAGGGGTACAGGCATGACTCCTCACCCCACAATGGGGCCTTCATTTCTGGAACCTTCGTGGTTGGAGGGATGCCAGTAGGGGAGGCAGAGAAGTACCAGAATTGGACCCTAATCTCTGTTGCTAGGAGGCCGACGAAGCCTGGTAGCTGGTCTGGGCTCAGGGCGGGGAGGGTGCTATCCCTTCGCTGCATGGCCCGCAGGAGTCTTGGTGCTAGGTCCAGAAGAAACTATTGCCTGCAAGGAAGTTTCTCCCGAACGCAATTTGTGAAGCCCCTGTGCAGATCGGGGAGGGGCTCCTGCAAAAAGCAGAAAACAGCAGCCAAGGACGCTGCCTGGCTGGGCTCCTGGGCCTCCTGGCTGGCCCACCAGAGCCTCACCTGGATGGATATCCAAGGTCAAGAGGAGAGCCCTTGCCCCTGGGTGCTTCAAGCATAGGCATGATCCGGCCTGAGCTTTAGGCGAAGAGGGTGGATGG
The DNA here is from genome assembly GCF_000001405.40 of Homo sapiens. Classification (NCBI taxonomy): domain Eukaryota; kingdom Metazoa; phylum Chordata; class Mammalia; order Primates; family Hominidae; genus Homo; species Homo sapiens. The sequence continues at coordinate 159,336 of NT_187585.1, read as the reverse complement.
CCCTTGGCTCACTGAGGCCACTTCTTGTTTGAGGAATTTTGGAATTCCTCAAATTCTGAGGACAGTGGAATTCTAAGGTTTGGGGAGTCCATGTTTCAACAGCTTCTTTTAAAAGCAGCCCGAGGAGAGGAGGGGCGGCCTTCATGGTCTCAGGGGCAGCTGCAGACCCTCGCTGAGGCTGTGGAAAGCCTGTCCTCTCCAGATGGGTCAATCGGTCACAGCGGCTGGGCTGGCCTCCTCATGCCCAGTTCTCCTCCCCAGAGCCCAGGACCAGGGGGTGGGGGTGAGGGGTCGGGAAGTGCTGTGGTCAGGAGGCTGGGAAGGCAACGGTACATGGCCTGGCCAGCAAATCAGCTATAGAAGGGACCCCCAGTTCCCAGGCCATGGATGGGTACTGGTCCATAGCCTGTTAGTAGCTGGGCCGCACAGCAGGAGGTGAGCAGCGGGGCAAGCATGACCGCCTGAATTCCACCTCTCGCCAGATCAGCGGCAGCAGTAGATTCTCACAGGGACGAGAACCTTGTTGTGAACTGTGCACAAGAGGGATCAAGGTTGAGCACTCCCCATGAGAATCTAATACCAGATGATCTGGGGTGAAACAGTTTCATCTGGCCCACCCACATCCGTGGAAAAATTGCCTTCCATAAAACTGGTCCCTGGTGCGGAAAATGTTGGGGGCCACTGAGCTGTAGGATGAAGAGGCTGAGATAAGGGGACACCAGAGGAGTTCTGGGGTTCATGTGGCTGGCAGTGTCTGGTGCGGTTCTGGGGTTCGGGTGGCTGGCAGTGTCTGGTGCAGTTCTGGGATTCGGGTGGCTGGCAGTGTCTGGTACGGTTCTGGGGTTCGGGTGGCTGGCAGTGTCTGGTACGGTTCTGGGGTTCGGGTGGCTGGCAGTGTCTGGTACGGTTCTGGGGTTCGGGTGGCTGGCAGTGTCTGGTGCGGTTCTGGGGTTCGGGTGGCTGGCAGTGTCTGGTGCGGTTCTGGGGTTCGGGTGGCTGGCAGTGTCTGGTGCGGTTCTGGGGTTCGGGTGGCTGGCACTGTCTGGTGCGGTTCTGGGGTTCGGGTGGCTGGCACTGTCTGGTGCGGTTCTGGGGTTCGGGTGGCTGGCACTGTCTGGTGCGGTTCTGGGGTTCGGGTGGCTGGCAGTGTCTGGTGCGGTTCTGGGGTTCGGGTGGCTGGCAGTGTCTGGTGCGGTTCTGGGGTTCGGGTGGCTGGCAGTGTCTGGTGCGGTTCTGGGGTTCGGGTGGCTGGCAGCCTCCTTGGTACAGTTCTGCGACCAGGGTTTGGGTCTGTGTGCTGGACTGTTCAGCAGATGAGGGCATTTTTCCTTCCATCTAGGAAGGCCTCAGTTCCCTGATCTTTTTTTTTTTTTTGAGATGGAGTCTCGCTCTGTTGCCAGGCTGGAATGCAATGATGGGATCTTGGCTCACTGCAACCTCCGCCTCCCGGGTTCAAGCGATTCTCCTGCCTCAGCCTCCCGAGTAGCTGGGACTATAGGCGTGCACCACCTCACCCAGCTAATTTTTTAAAAAATATTTTTAGAAGAGCCGGGGTTTCACCATGTTGGCCAGGATGGTCTCGATCTCTTGACCTCATGATCCTCCCGCCTCGGCCTCCCAAAGTACTGGGATTACAGGCGTGAGCCACTGCGCCCAGCCAGGTTCCCTGATCTTTTAAAGCAACCTGTTTCTGCTCTTGGGCAGGCACACTGTGGGCGGGAGTTGGGCAGTGAGCTCGCCATTGCTTGGGATGTGAGCAAGAGCTGTTTGTGTGGCAGCAGGGGGACCTCCTCCATGGGCGGACTCAGGGCTGTACTAATAACAGTGAACCAATTTGGGTGGTTCTGTCCTCCCCAGAGCTTTGCCCAGCTGTAGGCGCCCTCCTTGAGGAAGCCCTCCAGCCCGAGGCCCCATCCCTCACTGAAGGACGCAGGCAGACCATGCGTGAGCCTGCAGAAACCAGGCCGGAAGAGGTCGGAGGGATTTAGTAGGAGTTTATTGCCAGTCTGTGTCTGGGCAGCGGTCACCGGACTTTGTCCTTCCTCTGGGGCATAGGTTTCCTCCAGAGGACCAGGAGGACAAGGGTATTGATAGCAACCTGCACGTGGCCGAAGACGGGGACGCCAAAGCTGCGGTACAGGAGGCCGCCGACCGTGGGTCCCAGAGTTCGGAGCAGTGGTTGTACAGAGGCGCAGAGGCCCAGCATGGTCCCTGGGGGGTGCATGGGGGTAGTCAGGCCCTGGGCAGCTCCCTGGGCCAACTGCCCACTTCCTGAACACAGCCATGGCCTCCCATCTCTCCTGACCCACCCTGACCTCACGGCGCAGTCCGCACCTTGCATAGTCTGGTGAAATACTCCCCTGAACACCCATCCTTTCCACCTGCCAGCTTCTAACCTCCAGTCCCCCACCCCCTGCCACCCGCCCAGCCTTTGGAGCAAACACAGCTCTCTCTACCCACTGGTCTGTTCCCCGAGGACCTCTCAGCCATGCAGGGTGCTTCCCAGGGCATTGGGCTGAGTCTCTTCCCTGCTCCAGAAAGTTTCCAAGCACAGGAGGAGCCTGGGAATGGGACCACAGGTCACCGCAGAAGGCCCCGCCCTGCCAGGCCTGCCAAGGGAGATGGCATCTGTGCCTGGGGCCCGGAACCTCCCGCCCAGGCTGTCAGGGAGCTGGCTCTCACGGGCTCTTTCCCAGGGTGCCTGCCACCACCGAGGGCTGGTGATGCAGTGGGGAGGCTAAGCCTGGCCTGTGAGACACCGTTGGGGCTTGAGTTCAGAGTGGGCATGACACCCCCATCCCACGGCCCCTCCTGGCCATCAGCCCTTCCTCCAGCCGCCCCACCCTGCGGAGCTCCTACTACTCCATGGAACTCCCCCTCACATGGCTGGGAGGGGCTTTGGAATCCCATGCANGGCCCCTCCACCTGCCCCTCCTGTCCCCAGAGCAAGACCGAGCGGCTTCCGAGGCTCCCCAGACAGCCCCGACCTGCGCAGCAGCCTGCTCTGTCCCTGACACCGCATCTCCACGCCCCTGTGGCCAGCTACCCGCAGCATGGACGGGCACGTGGGCACTATCTGTGGCTGTTGTCAACACTCGGGCAACAAGGGGGGCAGCACTCGCCAAGCGGGAGGACCCCCCAGGACTCCAGGTGGGAGGACACTGCCTCTGGTCCCGTGCCCAGAGGGTCTCTGGCTCCAGGGACTTCAGAGCCCAGGTCTCCTGGAGTTGGAACTCCCAGGGCTGGTCAGCTGTGATGAGGAGCTGGCCAGGCCCCACCTGGGCTCAGGGCCCAGCATGGAGGACCATTAAGAGCAGCCTCTTCTGCAGACTCAGGGTGCAGTTCCTGCCCCTTCTGTCGCTGGGTTTCCAAGCTGCTGCTGGGAACCAGATGCTGGCTCCTACCAGGCCAGGGGTGGTGTCTGCGCATGACGTGGCCCAATGGCCTGGGCCTGGTCTCCCTCAGCCTCCAGGGGCCTCTTCCCAGCCAGGCCGGGTCCTCATCTCCCCAGGCCTTCCTCTCCTGTGCCATCCTCCTGGCCTCTCCAAAGTGCTGCCCAACCTCCTCCAGGAAGCCCTCCTGGCTCAGCCTGCATCAGCCCATGCACCATGGAGTCACAGTCCCCGAAGGCCTTGGAGGTTCCCAGGCAGCCCTGAGAATAGGCCTGCCCTTTGCAGCCCGGCCACATCCGGGCCTCTAGACCTTGGTCTGCTGCCTCCCAGACAGGCAGGTGGATGGAGTGTCAGATGTGTGCCCTGAGTTTCTGGATCTGCTGCCTCCCAGACAGGCAGGTGGATGGAGTGTCAGATGTGTGCCCTGAGTTTCTGGATCTGCTGCCTCCCAGACAGGCAGGTGGATGGAGTGTCAGATGTGTGCCCTGAGCTTTCTGGATCTGCTGCTGGGGAGGCCTGGAAGAATCTCCAGTACTCCAAAGGACTCCTGAGTCCTTTGACCTCAACCAGCCCACAGGAGCCCCCTGCACTGGCCAGTGTGTACCCACACTGTGCCTGGGGTGGGGCAGGAGCCTGGATAACATCGGGCCCAGGACACCCCCAGTCTGCATGAGCGGCTCTCTTAGGCCTCAAGAAAGAAAGCTGGGTCGGAAGTGGGGACTGGGGGAATCTATGTCTAGGGGACCTGTGTCCCCTGCAGTGGCCTAGGGGATTCCTGGATTTAATTACTGGTATGCATTCATTCACTCCCTCATTCATTCAGGAAGCTCCTGAGCACTTGTGTGCCCCACTCCCCGTGCTGGGGGAGGGCCCAGAAGTCCCCGGGGCCTCCAGGCCTGGCAGGCAAAGTCCTCAGGTGCTTCTCAGGGCCAAGCCAACTGCCACCTGCGGGCAGCCCCCTCCCAGGCCCCTGGCCTGCCCCCAGCTGGGCTAGGTGGTAGGGCAGGAGTCTCATGCAAGACCCAGGCTCCCCACCTTACTCATCCCACACAGACCCCAAGCCCCCACCCCACCCACCCCACACACTCCACACAGACCCCAGGCCCCCCACCCTACCCACCCCACACAGACCCTAGGCTGCCCACCCCATCCCCACCGGGTAGCTCCTAGGGCTTCCTGGAGGAGGCTGCTCCACTCGCTGGCCACACTCACCTGTGTCCGAGGTGGAGACAGCCTTGATCAGCATGCTGTCGGTGACCACGTTGAGGGTGCAGAGGCTGAACACCAGGCCGGGCACCAGGAGGCAGAAGTGGAAGACGCTGGACATCCAGGCCTGGGACGGCAGGCGGGGGCCGAGCTGAGTGGGGGCCTCACGGGACCAGGCTCCTCTCTGGGGTCTTACCTGTCCCTCCCCACCCTGACTGCTGTCCCTGCTGAAGAGCTGGCCCCGGGTGGGTGTGGGGGGCTGGAGGAGTCCCCAAGGGCTTAAGCACAGATGGTACCGCCCAGGTGGCCTTGCCCAGTGAGAGGGTCAGGTGAGTGGGCCCAAAGCGGGGAGCCCTCACCATGGCCAGGCCCACCACGATGAAGACCAGCACGCTGGCCCGGAGCAGCACCTCCTCCGAGAAGTGGCTGCTCAGCTGCCCGATGACCAGGCCCTGGGTCACCTAGAGCCAGACAGAGAGGGTAGAAGTGGGTATGGGGGAGGCGAGGGAGGGGCGTCTGGACTGTGGCCAGCCCCCAAAGCTGGGGACCTCCAGACTGGCCTGTGGTGGCCAGGGCCCCTCTGCAGAGAAGGCCCCTCAGCATCTGCAAGCCCCGGGGTCTCTCCCTACTCCGCCAGCAGTGACTGCGTCAGGATGGGTCTGAGATCCCTGAGGAGTCGGGGCTCCTCTCCACAAGGGAGGAAGGAAAGGCCCACACCAGGGACACCGGGGATGGGCTCGGTGGGACAGGCTCGGCCGCAGGCTGCTCCCGGGGATGGGCTCGGTGGGACAGGCTCGGCCGCAGGCTGCTCCCGGGGATGGGCTCGGTGGGACAGGCTCGGCCGCAGGCTGCTCCCGGGGATGGGCTCGGTGGGACAGGCTCGGCCGCAGGCTGCTCCCGGGGATGGGCTCGGTGGGACAGGCTCGGCCGCAGGCTGCTCCCGGGGATGGATTCGGTGGGACAGGCTTGGCCGCAGGCTGCTCCCAGGCCAGGGCGAGGCTCTCTATCTGGTCATCTCAGCTCCTCCACTAAGCAGGGCGTGCTGGGCCAACGCGCCTGGGAGTGCAGGGGTGGCCCCGGCTGGAGGAGCCCCTGGGCTCAGTATCTGCCCACAGGGCAGGCCCAGCCTGCAGCACCTCTGCAGGGGACCAGTCACTCTCCCAAATTCCTGCCAGGCAGAACAGAAACTGCTTCCAACCGGAACCATAAATGGTTTAAAAATCTTACTTTCACACTTGCTTTATCTTAGGGTTTTTTGGGATTTTAACACCTTTTTTTTTTTTTTTTTTTGAGATGGCGTCTCGCTCTGTCGCCCAGCGTGGACTGCAGTGGCGCGATCTCGGCTCACTGCAAGCTCCGCCTCCCGGGTTCACGCCATTCTCCTGCGTCAGCCTCCCGAGTAGCTGGGACTACAGGTGCCTGCCACCAGGCCCGGCTAATTTTTTTTTTTTTTTTGTATTTTTGGTAGAGACGGGGTTTCACCATGTTCGCCAGGATGGTCTCAATCTCCTGACCTTGGGATCCGCCCGCCTCGGCCTCCCAAAGTGCTGGGATTACAGGCGTGAGCCACCGCGCCCGGCCTAACACGTTTCTTAAAGGAAGAGCTGGCAAGCTCACTTCGTGCAGTGCGTCTAAGAGGGGCTCACAGTGAGTGCCGTGAAGGACTTCAGATCCAGGACTCAGACACCAAGGTCAGAAGCCTATTTGTGTTGCGTCTCAGTTTGCCCATTAAGTTTAAAAAAGCTTGAACTTAGGAGCCCTGCAGGTTGTGACATGAACCTGGAGCTAACAAGCTTGTCCCTGACCGGACTTGGGGTCTGGGGGCTACTCTGCGGGCCCCCTCCTTCCCCTCCTCAGCCTCCTCTCCCGCTGCTCAACCTGTGTCGGGGTCCCCATGCCTCACCCTGCTCCTTCCCCGTCCCTGGGCAGTTCACCAGGCCCAGTTCCTGCGAGGGTGCCCCGACGGTGTTGGTCACCACCCCAGCTCTGTCTGTCTCAGGCAGGGTCCCCACTGCAGCCATGGCAGGCCCAAGTCCCCCACAACACAGGCCAATGACTGCTGTGTCCAGCCCAGCTGCAGGCTTCAGCCAGGGCCTGGCTAAGCGTCCTTCCTCGCAGTGAGCTGGGCGCAGCCTGTTCAGAACAGGCCCCATGGCAACAACCCCGGATTGTTACTATTATTGTTGCTGTTGTTTTTCTGTTTATCTCTTTTTACCCTGCCAGGGTGGCCCCTCCTGCCCCAAAAAGCAGAGGCCCTCTCTGCCCACGGTGGGGGTCCAGCCCCTCCCAGGAGCAGCTATTTTAGCACTAGTCTAGTCCTGGGCCCAGAGGCTGAAGAGCAGATGGCTTGGAGGTGCCAGGAATGCCACAGGCTTCCGGAGAGGCCGAGAGCCCCCACCCCCACCCTGGCGGGTCCCAGAATAGCACCCCCCCGCCCCGCACTCTGGCTGTCAGGCAGCCATCCTGGGTGGTGGCAAATCATCACCTGTCCCCACCACCCAGGGTCTGGTCCAGAAGCCCAGAGGAGCTGGTGGTGGAGGTGTCTCGCCCCGGCCCGGGAGCTGAGCGGTTCTGGGGGGCTGGCAGACAGACACCTGCCGCATCGGAGCTGCCAGGGTTTCAGGGCATCCTTCCATGACAGTGTGGCCTCTGAGGGCTGGCGTCTTATCCTACCATGACAGCGTGGCCTCTGAGGGCTGGCGTCTTGCTCCTATGGGACCTCCAAAGGGGCCCACGCTGGTCTAACCACTTTGCCACGTTAGGTCATCTCATCTGCCAAGGACCCTGCAAGGCGGGCACTTTGGCCTCATGGGACAGATTTGGAGAGTTTGGGAGACTTGCTCTGGTCACACAGCTGGTGGGCAGGTGGGCTGCCACAGATCCCAGCCAGCTGCCCATCAGAGGCCGGAGTCCACTGTCCTCACAGCGTGCCCACCACTGCAGTTGGCTCTCCCTCCCTGGCCTGTATGCCTGGTTCCCTGTGGACCCTGACATGTGCCAGATGGGAGGCCAAGGGCTCCCCAGCCTCCGCCGGGGAGGAGCCTCTACTCTCAGAGGCCTGCCCCACTGGAGACCCCTGCCGTGCCCCCCAGCAGGCCCTGTGTGCCCACTCACCATCTGGAGGAGCCCGAAGAAGGACATGAGGTAGCCAGCTTGGGCGGCCTCCAGCTGGAAGAAGTCCATGGAGATGATGGAGAACATGACCATGAAGAGCCCTGAGCCGGGGCAGGGGAACAGGGTTGAGTACCCCCACACCCCGGCCTTGGCGCCCACCTCCCTCCCGCCTCAGCAGCCTGGCCAATCAGGGTGTCTGGGCCCTGGCTGGTGACTGGTTCAGGGAGGGGCCTGTGATGCCAGCCGGGCCAATGAGACCCTTCCCTGGGATTCTGCCGTATCCCTGGTGTGGAAAGTGCCTCTCGTGTGGTTGCTAAGCTCTGGACTGTGAGCAGGAAGGTGCTGGAAGGGAGGGACCCAGGGCTGACCACGTGGGAGGATTTGGCCCCCAAGACCCACCATGGCTCTCTGTTATAAGAGCCCTCAAAGTCACGTCTGCAATCCCAGCACTTTGGGAGGCCGAAGAGGGAGGACTGATTGAGGCCAGGAGTTTGAGACCAGCCTGGAAAAGATAGTGAGACCCTGTCTCTACAAACACTTAAATTAGCTGAGCGTGGTGGCCCATGCCTGTAGTCCCAGCTGCTCGGGAGGCTGAGACAGGAGGATTGCTTGAGCCTGGGAGGTGGGGCCTACAGTGAGCTGAGATCATACCACTGCACTCCAGCCTGGTCAGTGGTCTCAAAAAAAAAGGGCCCTCAAAGGGCCTGTTACTGAGGTTAGTAACTTGGGTTCCAGTTTTGAGAACCAACAGAGCTGGCCTAGGTGGGCTGGGTGGGACAGGGGCCGGTGCCAGTTGGAGTGCTGAGGGCCTATTCTCCATCCTGCTTCCTGGCTTCTCAGTTAGAGGAGTCCAGGCGGGGCTTCTGAGGGACAGGGCTGCTCGTGGGCTTGTCCGTGGCTCGCTATCCTATCTGTGGTCCGTGACGCCCTACGGTCTGCTGAGAGGGCCCAGGGCCAGCATGCTGCAGAAGGCAGTGGTGACACTCAGACCTGCTGTCCCTGCATCTCAGGCTGTCTGGAGAGGACGTGGGGCCACAGGGTATGAGGGTAAGAGCTGAGGAGCACACAGGGATGCATGGCTGCGAGCCAGGCCCTCTGCCCGTGGGGGCCCACCCTGGGATCTGCAGGTGTGCAGTGTAGAGGGGCTGGAAGGAGGTGGGAAAGACACTTTTCTGCCTTCCTCCCGCTCCTGCCTGCTCTACCACATCTGTGTGGACCTGTGGGGCACAGGCCAGAGGAAGGGCTGGGCCCTGGCCGCAGCTGGGACTCTGCCAGGCTCTGGCCGCTGTTGGGGCAGTAGTTGGGACTCACCTGTGGGGCAGTTGGAGGCCACCTTCACCAGGAAGATCCTCGGGACGTCTGGCAGCCGCAGCAGGGAGGCGATGGCCTTCAGGTCGAACACACTGGCCCGGGGGCCGCCTGGCACGGAGAGGCCATTCAGGCCTGCAAAGGCCATTGTCCCAATGCCCACCCCTCGCCCGGCTGCAGGCCTCGCCATTCGGAGGGCCCTGTTGCGCCCGCCAGGGTAAAGCTTCCTTCCTTGGCTTCAGCACCGCTCACTTGTGGGAATGGGAGCTGGTGATGCTTCCAGCTGCCAGGTTGGGCACCGCCCCTCAGCACACTTCTACGCATTCCTAGGGGCCCCCTGAATCCCCAGAGGCACTTAGGAAAAGCATCCTCTGCACGCAGGTAGACTGGCCTCAACCTGGGCATGCAGTGGCGGAGGCCTGCGGCAGTCCCTGAACAAGGGACCAATAGCTGCTTCCTATATGGTCCTGGCCTGGGGCCTGGGGCAGAGCATGACCAGGCCACCAGCCCAGAGGAAGACAATGGCAATACTGTACCACTCTCTGTGGCCACAAGTCACCGCCGTGGCCTGGCCCACCGGGCACCTCTGAGTGCGAAGCCACAGGCCCCCAGCCCGGCTCACCGAGTCCTTCCTCCTTATTGTCTCAGGGGCTCCTGCCTCTCTGGCTCTGCTGTGCTCGCCACAGGCCCATCTCCACCCGGCCCTCCCCCTGGACTTTCTAGGTTAATTCCATGACAGCCTCCTGCCCCAGGATGGTCCCAGGTGGGTCCCTCTGGCCCAGGCTGGGCTCTTAGTCCCTAGGCACCGAGGCATGGGCCCTGCCACGTGCCTGGCACAAAGGGGCTGCGTTCAGCAGGGGGCCAGCCTTGAGGGGACCCCCTCTGAAGAACCTTGGCCTCTCCTCATGGGACCAGCCTGACCATCCTCTGCCCTCCACCAATGAGTGCCCCTCGGGCAGCACCCTCGCCTCTCCCTGGACACTCAGAGCTTCCGGAGCCTTGCTGGCCCACCCACCCCATTGGGGGGTCCCTCCTGGTCCTCCCCAGGCCTCTCTGGGCCTCCCCTCCTAGCACCTTCCCTGTCTGGGCCTCCCCTCCTAACGCCTTCCCTGTCTGGGCCTTCCTGCCTCTCTGGGCCTCCCTGCCTGCCGGAGCCCCACTTCCACCTCTTCATGACCACACCTCACTTGGCTTCTATGATGTCAGCAGCTGGGAAGGGTTCAAGGAAGGCAGGAGGGTGTGAGTAGCCCCCAGATTTCCCCTCAGGCCCCCCGTACCCCTTGGCTGGAGCACGCAGGCCTAGCCAATGCCTTCCATTGCCCCAGCATCTGGGCAGGGTGTACCTGGCGGGGCTTACCTGGCAGTGGAGCCTGGGCGTCAGTTTTGGCCCCTTTGGTGCTGGCGGGGATGCAGGTGAAGCTGAGGACAGCTCCCAGGAGGGTGGCCAGGGCAGCCAGGATGGCCGGGCACTGAATCCTGCGGGCAACAGCCTCGGCTGCACAGGGTGCGGGTCCCAGGGCCCAGGCGCCCCAGCCACATCCCCCAACCTGCACCTTTGGTTGCACTAAAATAGCTTAAATCTGACCTCCCACATCCCCACAGTCTGTGGCCTAAAGAGTGGGGACTGGGACCCTCAGAGCACATTTATTAGGTGATGGATGAAGGAATGGGTGGGGCGCTCACCATCCCTGACCCTTGCCACGCCATGCAGGCCCCGGCAGCCCCTGTGGGTAGCAGCTGTGGAAGCCAGGCTGGTGAGCGCCTGGGGCAGGTGGCGGATCCTCCCAGGAACAGCAGCTCCCACGCTGGCCAAGGTCAGGAGAGGCTCCAAAGGGCAAGCCTGGTGTGCATGTCCCTGGGAGGGGCTCTCCGAGACCTGGGCACCTGTGCTGTGTCATGGGGATGGCAATGCTGCCTCCCCAGCGTGGGCAAGGGTGGGCCTGGCATTCAGCAGGCCCTCAGAAACCGACCCCCCTCCTGTTGGCCCCTCCCCACTTTCTAGAGTGTGGGGCATGCTGGGCTTGGAGGGGGCTTTGGGCTGGGATCCCAGAGCCTTGCAAAGCCCCGGAGGTGCCCCTCAGGCTGCTTTGCCACCTTCCCACCTTCCTGGGCCACTACCAAGGCCTGGGACTCTGGCTGTACCGTCAGCTTCCCTGCCATGAGTCCCCACCTGGAAACTTGGCCTGTGATTCCCCTGGAAGGAATCGGCAGGTCTTGTCTCCTGGGGACGGAAGCACCTGAAGCTGGCTGTTCCAACTGTCACCATTGCCTCCTGGGGGCTCAGCCAGCCCCCTCCCCTCAGGGGAGAGACAGGAGGAAGTTGGGGCTTCCTACTGAGCTCGTCTGTAAGGCCTCCAGGCCTGTGCCGGACCGCCACGGCCTTCCTCTCAGCAGCTGAGCAAACTCCTATACAGCCTGCAAGGGCCCTTCTTGGTGAGGCCCCAGCCCTCCTTCCCAGACAGCATGCCATCTGAGAAGGACTTGCTTTACCAGCTGGCTAGAATCTGGCCCCTGAGGGCAGGTGGTCCAGGGTTGGACCCTGCGCGGAGACCGCAGTGATCATTAGATGATCGGACAAATGTGTGAGCCATTCACACACGCAGCACAAGTTCTGCCCCAACCTCAACAGATCCTCCAAATCTGCCCTGGCCAGGGCCTCAGGGCACAGGCATCCAGTAGGGGTCAGGGTCCTGGAAGATGCCCTTGCACCCAAAAACAAGGCCAGCCACAGGCCACCATGTCCCCACCAAGGAGTTCAAAGAAAGGACTTTCCTCGCCCCTCTTCACCGCAGCCACATGCGCACACACACACACACACGGGCAAACTTGTACACACACTTACCTGCATCCGTTTGCCAGAGCAAGGAGGGGACTTGGAGCCACACTGACTAGGATAGTCAGTGGGGCCACCTCTGAGTCCAGAGAGTCTGGGCATTGGCCACCCCTCATTTCTGAGGTGGGACCCCTAAGCTCACATCAGTCTAGGGGGGTGCTGGCATATCCACCCCACCTGTGCTGCTGCCCCCGCCAATCCATCAGGGCAGCTCCGACTCCTGCAGCACCCACCGCCCAGGACGTCAGCTACTCAGGTTTTCTGGCTGCTGGGGTTCCGCACGAATGGGCCCTTCCTTTGGGAAAATGCCAGGGAAGGGGAACGGCTGGGCTCGGGCGCCACAGCTTGTCCCTCCAGCCAGCAGGCACAGATGTATGGCGCAGGAGGGACAACTGGCCCCTGTGGCCAGCCCCAGAGAGACGGGCCCTTTCTTTGGTACCCTGGCCTCAGAGGCCTGCGTGTCACAGCTCAGGGTCTGGCTGGGCAGGGGCAAAACCTGCCTTATTTGCCAGATGTCCCAGAAGTACACAGGAGCAGACGCACCACTTCGATGGCTATTTTAGGAGGCTGGTGACAAGCAAGGCATGGTGGCAGGAAGCCAGGCCCTCGAGCGGTGGCGGGTAAACCAAAGGCCTGTGCTGCTGTGGGCAACAGGAAAGCCTGGGGCTGGGGGACCCTGGAGGGCCCCAGGAGGTAGGGAGTCAGGTCCCACCACTGTGCCAGGGGCAGTGGGTGGCTGCTGGGGGAGACGCAGGCTGTCCTTCCCCAGTCACAGCTCTCCTGCTCCCCAAAAATGAACTGCCAGGAGGGAAACGGGAGTGGGAAGGAAATCCAGCACGCTGGCCCCAGCCCTGGGGCTTTTGCACGCCGGACAGCCTGGGCATCCCCCCGGGACCATTGACTGGAAGCACCCTTAGCACGGTGCCGTCAGCCCCTCCTGCTCAGCCCCCCTCAACCTCACCACGACCTGCCAGACGCAGGGGCACGCTGGCTTCCCGGGGCTCATCCAACACTTTTATCAGTGGAGCCACGACCAGGAAGGTGGGGACAGGTTAATTTGTCTTTGTCTCCTCCTGCTCTTTCAGTTGAATGGATTACAGGAGTGTCTGTCTGGATGCTGTTGAAAGGACACTGGACAGGACTCAGGGGACCCACAGCCTCTGTCCCTTCTCTGCCGCTTACCTGCTAGGTGACCTCATTTCCTTATATGCAAATGAGGGCTGGGTTCACAGCTGCCGCTGCCCCTAACTCCACTGTTCTGGGGCCCCTCTGGACCTGCAGGGCGCAGCCCACCTGCATCCTGCCCACCAACCGCAGCCCACACCTGAGGCTGCCCAGATAGCAGGGCGTGGAGTTGGCTTTCAATCGCGTCTCCAGGAACCTCTGCTGAAGTCTGGGCTTCTGTGTGTTCTACGGTGACAAGCCCTCATCAAGCCTCACCTTACTCTGAGGCTCTGAAAGGGGACGCACAAGGTGACAGCATGTGCCCAGGTCATCCTGCTGCCAGGAGCGAACCCACAGGTGGGGCTGAGGCTAGGTCAGCTGGGACCTGGCTTTGTGGGACACCTAGCTCACAAGACGATGGGGCAGGGGGCTGTCCAGAGCGTCCCTGGATGTCCAGCCCAGGGCTGAGAGAAGTCATCCGTGCTCCAGGATGCTGCAGTTAGAACCATGTTTGAAAATGAACATCTTGCCATGCCACTCCTAACGCAGCTGCCGTCTGGCTTCCAGCGTGCCCCAGAAGGTCATAAAGGCCCTCTGGCCTGACCCTTCCCAGTCCTCGTGTCTCCTCGTACGTGGTCCCCCCATTCCCCAAACACATAGCCCTCCAACCAAACCACAAGCTCCCTCCTGCCCCAAATGGGCTCTGAGACTGGAGTGACTCACGGGCCCAGCAGGAGGCCTGTCCAGCCTGCTGCTCAACAGGGCTGTCCTGAGGGACAGCGGGGCCAGAACCATCTCAGCGGGGCCTGCTGCCTGCCCACTGTGGGAAGAACAGAAAGAACCGGAGTGTCCTGGGCACTGCGAGGTACACGAACTAAGGCAGTAGCTGAGTCACCTGGCTGGGGGGGCGGCGGGCCTGGGTCGCCCATATCCTGCTGCTCCCTCAGCTGCCTGCCAGCCCCTGCCCTGCATCTATCTGCCCCCGAGAGCCTCTTCCCTGTACAGCAGGTGCCCTGTTACAAACACCCCTGCACTCCTCAGCCTCCGCTCAGCGCTTGGGGTGCCCTGGGTCGTATGGGACACTGCTCACCTCCCCTCCCATCCCCTCCTCCCTCTCTGAGCTCCAGTGCCCCTGGCTCCTTGTTTTTTCTTGGCTGGGCAGGGGTGTCCTGCCCACAGGGCCCTGGCACCCCCATGGCACCGGCATGGCCCTGGTGGCTGCCTGTCCACCCGGGGAAGGCAAACCCTGCAGGGCTCCCTGCTGTCTGGCTCAGGATAGGACTCTATGGCCCCTCCCCATCCCTCCCCAGTCTGTGAGGGGCTGGGCTCAGAACATGAGTCACAGAGCCACCCCCCACCCAGCGTGTGTGCAGTGACTCAGGTCCCGGGTCCCTCCTCAGGCCAGCCTGGCCTCTCAGCCCTGGGCTCTGGAGGCTGGGCCCAAACCAGTTATACCAGTGCCCGCCCCCGCAGCCTGTGGGTGCCAAGTCCACTTCCTCCTCCCACCTGCTGCCCAGGTGGGTGCGGATGAGGCAGGACTGGGGCCTTCCAGAGGAATGGGATACACAGGTGGGTGGGCAGGGAGGGAAAGCCCACACATGTTGTGCCTCGGTTTCCATCAAGGAAGGGCAGGAAGGCTGCAAGGCGGGGGATGTTCACAGCTGCACCAGACTCCTGCCCCGCACCAGGCCAGGAGCCAGAACAGGCTGCAGGCGTTGGGGCAGCCGGACCAAGAGGGCCAGGGGGCTGGCCCTTGCCATGGGGCACCAGGCTTTGGAGCCTGGCTGGCACCTGGCCCCACTGCCTTCGGTGAGCCCCCGAGGGGGAGGTGTGGGCCTCCCTCACCCTGTCTGGGTTGGACAAAGGCAGATTACCAGCCACAAGGTCAACCCCGCAGCCCTCCTGTGCCACCACCACTCTGGGCAGCCAGCTTTTGCCACAGTGCCCAAGCAGCACCCCGTGTCTTGGGTGTGGTATGAGGAACCTGAGGGAGTCCCACACTGCCTGGGCCTTGGACGGGGACTGGGGAGCTCCATGGAGGGAGCCTCATCATCTCCTGGGCCTCGGTTACCCCTCCCATCAAAGGAAATGTCACAGCTGGTCTGATTATGAAACGTCAAGATTGTAAAGCGCCTCAGATCTTGGGATGAATGGAGGCAGGGAAGCGAATGGAATGTTCTGGCAGGTGTGGGCAGAGGTAGAGGCCGTCTTGGCAGCTACTGGGAGGGAGAGGGACATGAGTGGTGTCTTCTGGGTCAGCAGCTGTGATGGGGGAAAGGGCAGGTGAGGACAGGAGGGGACCTGTGGCCTCGTAGACGGGCCTGCAGGAGGCATGTGTGCTGAGCTGCTCCAGCACCATGGCCACGGCTTACTGCCTGAGCGAGCTCGGACCCTCCCAGCATCGTTGTGGGTGAGTAAGGGCAGGGGAGGGCCCATTTCATAGGTGAGGAAGGCTGGCCAGGGAAGGAGGCGGCAGCAGGCGGCTGGGCCCTGAGCGGGCAGAGTACCTGGGGGTGGGCAGCACCCTGGGATGGCAGCCGCCCAGCTCAGCCACCTGCTGGGGCCCAATGCTCCTCCCCGTGCCCTCCTCACGCCCTTCCTCACCCTGGCCACCCTGGAGAGACAGGCCCTGGGTGGTGCCGGTTCCCCACACCTCACACCTGCCAGCCCCCTGGCCCCAGGGTGAGCCCTCCCTGCTGTCCCACCAGAGCTGCCCACACAAGTGCCCTAAGCCCCATCCTCCAGGGACACCCTCCCAGCAGTGTGCTTGGCTCCCACATCAGCCCTTCCCTCTCCCTGGGGCGCCTCCCCATGGCTCCTCCCACCCTGAGCATAGCCTCCTGGACCCACCTCTGCCCCCATTTATAGCACGACTTCCCGACCCCCTCTCTTTTCTCCCCATTTCCCTTGATCCGTCTATTGCATGAGGCTTCTGCGGCTGGCACTGACTTGAGGGGGTGGTGCTGGTCCAGCACTGGGGTGGCCTCCCTGCTGCAGATGGTGGGCCACTGTGGCTTCCTTGGCCACCAGCGGTAGAGGCACGGGTCCCTGACCCCCACAAATCCAGTGGCCCTTGGCTCCCAGGACGTGCTCCCTCCTCACCTCCCAGCCCCGAAACATGAAGTGCTGGGGGGCGCAGGGCTCCGAGCCATCCACACTTGAAGATGCACCCCATTTCTCCCCCTTATCTGGGTGCCTACTCAGTAGCTCCCTGGAGTGCCTGACAGGCACCCAGGCTGGGCCTGAACAAGACCCAAATCCCAGTGGCACCCCAGGCTGCTTGGGCCTCTGCGCAAGGCGCCAGGCTCCCCAGGGTCAGGCACGGCCTTGGCACTGCCATCTTGAGTTCACACCCACATCCCACCCACTGGCAAAACCCAGCCAGAATCTACCCTCTGCTTTCTCTCATCACGGTCCCCTCTGGTCCAGCCACTGTCCTCCCCCACCTCGGCCGGCACAATGGCTGTCCTACCGGTCTCCCTGCAGGGGAGCTCACCCCCCATTCTCACCCCTGCTGTGCCACCCAGGGCACCCCGGCCTGGTGCCTGCCCCTTCTTCCTCCCTCCAGCCACACGGCCCCCTGGCTTCCACACCCAGGGCCTCTGCACCGTGGTTTCTTTGCCTCCCTCTCCTGCTTCAGGCCTCGACTCAGATGCCGCCTCCTCAGACAGGCCCTAGTGATCCCATCCATCGAGCCCCCAGTTCTACTTTGTGACTTTTTGCTCCATGTAGCTCAGCCTGATGTTACGGGAATTCCTATCACATTCCCTTCATCCCAGGGACTCAGCCTGTGTTGTCTGCCGCTGTATTCTAGAACCAGAGTCCTGGGGGCCATGTTGAGGTGTTCAAACTACCCACCCCACCCCACTCCACCTCCTGCTCACAGCCATCAGCAGCCATCAGTCCCCAGCCCAGGCTCCAGTGAAAATGCTGGGAGAACGTTCGGGGACTCAAACAAGGCCGGCAGCACAGCCCTAGAGACCTCCGGAGAGGGAGGTGTGCTCTGGGCACCGTCCAACAGCTCAGCCCCGCTGCCACAGCATCCCAGCCCCAGGGTGCTCCTGTCCCCAGCAGGAGGCTGCTGGGAGGCCTCCCTCCTCTCAGGGCCTCAGTTTCCCCAGCGTCCCAGTGGGGCTGTGCGTGGACAGCTTGGCAGTCCAGTCGCGCCCCGGACAGCACTGGGACATCACCTGGCCCTATCCAGGGCCAGCCAGCCCGGGAGGTCAGGCCTAGGCCTCGCGCGGGGCCAGACGTCCCCAGTAGCCACATCACGTGGCCACTCGCGCCCCACGAGCAAAAGAGGAAACCGAGGCCAAGAGGAGGCGGGGCGGGGCCGACCCAGCCGCGGGCGTCCTGACCCACAGACTCCGCCCCGGCCCCCACCACTCACCCGTACGCGGAGACCAGGGTCCCGCCCAGCAGGGAGCCGAGGATGACTCCGACGCCGAAGCAGAGGCCCAGCCGGCCCAGGGCCGCGGGCCGCTCCTCGGGTGCCGACAGGTCCGTGATGACCATCTGGGCGGCTGGGGACGGGGCGGGGGAGCTGAGCGGCGAAAGCCCCTCGGTGGGGCCTTTCCCCCCCTGACCCGCCCCTCCACAAGCCACGCCCCACGTCGCCCCCCACCCCCGTCCAGCCCTTAGGGCCAGACCCCGCGCGCACGCAGACCTCCCTGGAGGTGTCCCGGGTCCTCCGCAGGCTGCCCCCGACCCGGCCCCACCTGGACTCCAGTCCCCCGGCCCTACCTGGCAGCGTGTGCATGAGCGCTCCGGGCAGGCGCGAGGCGAAGAGCAGGTAGACCCCGGGCAGGGCCGGGCTGGAGGCGGCCGCCAGGAGCAGGTAGAGCGCCAAGGCAGCCAGGAAGGAGAGCGTGAGCGCCGCCCGCGCCCCGCGCTGGTCTGCGAACCTGGGGGCCGAGGGGCGGGTCGGACCCTCACGGAGGCGGTCAGTGTCCCCTTCCCCCCGTCCAGGGGCTGCCCAGGCGGGGCTGACCAGGGAGGCTGGAGTGCGGGATGGGGATGGAGGGCGGGGGCGCCTGGGCGGCTGCTGGGAGGCCTCCCTCCTCTCAGGGCCTCAGTTTCCCCAGCGTCCCAGTGGGGCTGTGCGCAGACAGCTTCACTGAGCTGGGAGTCTGACCCAGGGCAAAGACCAACTCCGTGTAAAAATAAATGGTGGAATCCCAGGGGACCAAAGGGTGGGCCCGCGTTTTACAGAAGGCGTTTGTCAGGTTGGGTCTGAGAAAGCAGCGCCTTTCTCCCTTCTGTTCTGGGCCACTGGAAACCCTCCCAGAGATCGCTGCTGGTCTGCTGCCTGCGGAACCCTTCATTTCTGCCTACGGGTTGCTCTGAAGAGGCAACTCCCAATACGTGTCCCTTGCTCCCCTGTCTGCTGTGGCTTGTGGGAGGATGTCCCTGTCCTCTCTCAAGCTCAGTGTTCCCACAGCACTGAGACCCGGGGTGTATGGAGCCCCCAAAGTCCCTCCTGCCTGGTCTCGGCAGGCCTACGGGCTGGTGCTTACAGCCACGAGGTGTTCACCAGTCACACTCTCTCTCTGGCCACAGGCAGGAGTAGTGGAAGGCGTGGGTGGGACACCCGGGAGCCTACCAGGGGCCAAAGTTCTTCTGCACCCCCATCGGCCTGTGACACAGGAGTGCCGTCATCCCAGGGGGGTCTGGTGTGGGGTCAGGGAACCTGGCCCGTCTGAGCCCATGGCGTCTGAGAGGGGGCCTGGGTCACTGTGGGGAGAGCCCCTGTACACACACACACTGTACCTGCCAAACACCGGCCCGCCCAGCAGCTGCAGCACCCCGAAGGTGGTTTGCAGGTAGCCGAAGGCAATGGAATCCAGGCCCAGTTTCCGAGACAGGTACTGAAACACAGGAGGGAGCCCGGGGGAGGGGCTGGGAAAGACTGCAGGGCCTAGAATCTGGGGTCCCTGGATGGGCAGGGGGTGGGAGGGGACCGAGGGCCTGGGTTCTGTTGACTGCACAGTATGACCATCGAGGGGCCCTTCCCAGGGGGACCCTGCTCCTCTTCTCATAGGCGGAAGCCTGTTGTGGTCTCTAAGGTCCTTGCAACTCCTCTCCTAGGCGGGAGCCCAGGGTGGCCTCTAGGGTCCTTCCCCTCTGGGGGCACGCCCCAGAGAGGCACCTGACCCCCACCATTTTGTCTTCATTCATTCAAAACTTTGTGGGGGACGCCAGCAGCAGTGTCCTGGCCAGCAACAGATTGTCCCAAGGCCCCCAAGTGACCTCCAAGAGGTGGCCCATTGCCCAGCAGGACACAGTCTGCTCTGTGAGGCCCCAGCCTTTCAGCCCCTCCGGAGGAGTAGGTCCATGACAGCATCCTGTCCCAGGGACACCCTTATATCCTGCCCTAATTCTCTGTGATTTGGTCCCCCTGCAGCCGCTCCTCCCCCTGCCCCTGCCTCTGAGTTCCCGACTCTCCTTCCAGTGATGTAACTTATTATGGGCTTCATTGTGTACCCCCCAAATTCATATGTGTTAACTTCCAGAACCTCAGAATGTGACATTCTTAGGAAATGGGGTTAATCAGGTTACAGTGAGGACATGAGGGAGGGCCCTGATCTAATGTGACCCGTGTCCTCATTAGGAGGAGAATTTGGGACACAGACACACTCGGATGGATGACGTTGTAAAAATCCATGGGAAGACAGAGTGATGTGGCCACAAGCCAAGGGATGTCTGGGCTCCCAGGGGCTGGAAGAGGTGGGAAGGATCCTCCCCCGTGGGTTTCAGAGGGAGCCTTGATCTCAGACTTCTGGCCTCCCAAACTGTGAGACAATAGGCTTCTGTTGCTCTAAGCCCCCAGGGTTTTGGATACTTTGTTATGGCAGCCCCAGATGCTAATACACCGCCCCCGCCCCCTCCCCTGGACCTTTCCCTAAGCTCAGTCTTGGGGTCCCACTCCCCTTCTTTCCACTGTCCCCCTTGGTCCACACGAATTCTCCCCAGAGCACTTCAGTCCCCAAGGGCAGTCGGTAACCCCCCCATCCCCAACCCCAGACTCCTTCTTCCTTCAGCTCCATCCCTGCTCCCTCGAGGATGGGAAAGCCCTCTGTCTGCCAGATCTCTCCTTTGTTTGTGAGCTTGACCTGACAATCACCCCACATTCCCCTAGTAAACCTCTGCCTCCTCCATCCCTCCCCTCCCCAGCGCCGCTAGTGTGAGGATGCTGAGCTTCTCTCTTTTTTTTTTTCTTTTCTCTCTTTTTGTTTTTTTATTATACTTTAAGTTCTAGGGTACATGTACACAACGTGCAGGTTTGTTACATATGTATACATGTGCCATGTTGGTTTGCTGCACCCATTAACTCGTCGTTTACATTAGGTATTTCTCTTAATGCTATCCCTCTCCCCTCCCCCAACCCCACGACAGGCCCCAGTGTGTGATATTCCCCGCCCTGTGTCCAGGTGTTCTCATTGTTCAATTCCCACCTATGAGTGAGAACATGTGGTGTCTGGTTTTCTGTCCTTGCGATAGTTTGCTCAGAATGATGGTTTCCAGCTTCATCCATGTACAAAGGACATGAATTCATCCTTTTTTATGGCTGCATAGTATTCCATGGTTTATATGTGCCACATTTTCTTAATCCAGTCTATCACTGATGGACATTTGGGTTGGTTCCAAGTCTTTGCTATTGTAGATAGTGCCACGATATACATACGTGTGCATGTGTCTTTATAGTAGCATGATTTATAATCCTTTGGGTATATACCCAGTAATGGGATCGCTGGGTCAAATGGTATTTCTAGTTCTAGATCCTTGAAGAATCGCCACATGTCTTCCACAATGGTTGAACTAGTTTACAGTCCCACCAACAGTGTAAAAGTGTTCCTATTTCTCCACGTCCTCTCCAGCATCTGTTGTTTCCTGACTTTTTCATGATCGCCATTCTAACTGGTGTGAGATGGTATCTCATTGTGGTTTTGACTTGCGTTTCTCTGATGACCAGTGATGATGAGCATTTTCTCATGTGTCTGTTGGCTGCATAAAGGTCTTCTTTTGAGAAGTGTCTGTTCATAGAGGATGCTGAGTTTCTCATCCCCAAGCCTGCCCACCTGTCCTCGCCTACCCAAGTCATCCTCCCTGCCTGCGTCACATCCCAACCTTTTGCCTCCTCAAGGGCAGGGCTCCCAATGTTCCTCTCTCCGTTTCTCTGCACAGTCCCCTTCTGTGGGGGCACCCACTGGACCAAGCTCCCAGTGCTCCTCTCTCCCCGTTTCTCTGCACAATCCCCTTTTGAGGGGGTGGCAATGGAGCATGCTCACATCCTGTTACTTCTCTTGCGTTCTCTTGACCCTCCCCTACAGCTACTCCCACATATTTGAGGGCGGAGCTCTGAGCAGCTGCCTCACCTTGCAGCCTCCTCTCTTTCCATCTCTTTCCTTCTCTCCCAGCCCTCGGAGCAGGCCCCAGGGGACTATACTATAAAGACACATGCACACGTATTTTTATCGCGGCACTGTTTACAATAGCAAAGACTTGGAACCAACCCAAATGTCCATCAATGACAGACTGGATTAAGAAAATGTGGCACATATAAACCATGGAATACTATGCAGCCATAAAAAAGGATGAGTTCATGTGCTTTGTACATGGATGAAGCTGGAAACCTTCATTCTGAGCAAACTATTGCAAGGACAAAAAACCTCCTGCTGTCTCCCCTCTCCCTGAGGTCCCCATTGAACCCACACTGCTGCCTCCAGTGGTCCGCTTTGGCAGGCCTCCCACTGGAGTGACAGTTGCCTTCGTGGCTTCTTCTCTCCTCCACGATGGTCTGCTGCTCTGGGCTGTGCTGGGTCCTTTGCCCCTCCTCCACCACCACTGCCAGTTCCCCCAGCTCATCCGACCTCCAGCCTCCCTGCCCTCTGGGGGAGCCCAGCCCATGACCGTCTCCATGCTGCAGGGCCCCAGAGCCTCTGTGCTGAACTGCCTTGTGTCCAGCTCCCTTCGGCTCTCCACTGGGGTCGAAAATCGTCTCAAACTCAACCCGTCCCCAGCTGGGCTCCCATCTTTCCCTCTCCTCCTGTCCATGCCTCCTTCCTTATGGGCTCAGGCCCAGATCTTCAGTGCTCCCTGAGCCCTGCTTTCTCTCACACCCACTACAGTCCATTGACAACACATGCAAAATCCAGCCACCTCTCACCTCCTCCACAGCCATCACCAGCCCGGAGTTCTTTGAGCAGCAGGTGGGGTGTGGTCCCATTCTGGCCTCAACCAGTCCACTCTAGCCACTCTGCTCTCTCCACTGCCCCGGGGCCTCTCCTGCTTCCTTCCAGCCCTGCTCCAAGGTTGCCTTCTCTATGAGGAAGACCTCGCCCCCTTCCCACTGCAGCCCCTGTGCGTGTGGACCCCCAGCTCCGAGGGAGTGGGCTGTTGAGGATTTTTACACTCTGCAGTATTTCAGGTTCTGACATCAGGGTCAGCTCCTGGGCACTCAGCACGGAGTTACTCCCCATGAGAGTCGATGGGTGGCTGAAGCCACTCCACCTGTGCTCTGTGCCCAGCTGTGGGAAGGGTTCTGACTTCTCATTCACTCTTCCCCGCACCAACCCTACAGGGAGGGACTGTTATTACCCATTTTATGATGAGAAAAGCAAGGCTCCTGCCCAGCCTTCCCCACGGGTAGGGAGGAGATTCAGGGCTTGGCCCCAGCCATTTAGCAGGAGTGGGCGGGGCGCCTGAGGCACGGAGGGGAGGGATCCTTAGGCTCACCCTCGGGCTGGGAGCCTCTGCCAGTCCCGGAATGGTGCCAAAGGCCCATCCCCACTCCCGCCTAGATGCCCAGGTCCAGGCTCTGAGGGCTGAGAGGAGGAGGGCAGCTGTCTGAGCCCACGCACGCCGGGCTTCCCAGAAGCAAACACAGGAAGGGCCGAGGTTGGCCCTGACTCTGCCTGAGCTTCTTGGTGATGTGAGACTTTGTTCCCAAGCCTCTCCAGACTTGGTGAATATAATTTAATCATTACTATTACAGCTTCCAGAGCCACACACTGTGGTATAGACTACTGAATGATACACTAAACTAACATGAATTTGCCAATGAAATGTTTCCGCATTTGGCAACAGAGATAATAAAATAAGAGAGCATTCTATCTCTTGCAAGAAAAAGCTTGAGATCAATTTGCCGCCACAGATCATTTAGTGGACAACAAGGACCCAAGAAGATGGAGGGGAGAGATAGAAGCTGCGGGCAGGTGCAAGGAGAGCCTCTCTGAGGGGTGATCCGCCCAGAGCCACACCGGATTGAACAGCCCTTGGGGCAGGGACTCCAGAGGGCAAAGGCTGCCGGGTGAGAGGCAGGAGGAACAGCGCTAGGAAGGTTTGAGGAGGTGCTGCCCCCAGGAGGGAAGTGGGGTGGCTCCCCATGGCTTCTCCCGGGGCTGGCACTGAAGCTGGAGCACAGGATGTGCTGACGGGGGTCCAGAGGCAGAGTCCTTAACTTACTCAGCTTAAGCGTGGCATGGAGTCCCAACTGGGAGGGGCCCTGGCAGCATGAAACCCCCACCCCCACTCTCTGCGACGGCCCAGATGGAGGGCAGGAGGAACAGCGGTTCAGCCCTGGCTGGGGCTGCAGGGGCTGGGGTGTGTTACTCACTGGCACGATGGAGAACTGCATGAAGAGGCAGGTAAGTTCTGTGGCGGCCAGCACGTAGGTAAGCAAGATGACCGAGGACCGGCCTAGAGCGCTCATCCTGCCGGGGGACTGGCCCTGGTCCCTGGGAGCCCGAGCTCCCTGCATCCTGGACAGGCGCAGCAGGGAGACCCAGGAGAGATCCAAGCAGGAGGCTGGCGGAGCAGGGGGCAAAAGTCCAGTTGATCCGGGCAGGGGTGCTGAGTCACTGGGTCCCAGGCAGCACCCGCCTGGCCTTGCCTGCAAGAGAGGACAGCACTGCAGGACCCCCTCCCCAGTGGAGCTCTCCTGCTACCTGGACCTTAGAGGACACATCAGGGGGTCCCCCTCCTCCACTTTTGACAGCTCTGGTCTCCAGGCACACAGCCTCCCGGGGAGGGGAGACAGGGACAAGCTGCTCCCCCCGACCCCTGCAGGTGGGCCAGGCTCAGTGCCTGGTTGCCTGACACAGGAATGTGCCATGCCCCACTTTTAGAGGGAGGCAGAGGCTCGGAGTGGTGGCTGAGTCCACCTCAAATCATCAGCGCCTTCTGTGGCCAGAGGGCTGATGTGGGTCCCTGTGCCTGGAGGCCCTCCGTAGGCCCACAGTGGCCCTGTCCCCAACACAGTGCAGCTCTCAGGGAAGGTCTACCTTCCCCTGTGGCCAGCAGCCAGAGCTCCAAGGGGCTTCTGGAATGGTCTTGCGTATGGGAGACATATCTCAGCCTTCCAGGCTCCCCAGTAGCTCTGCCTTACCTCCCACAGCGGAGTGCTGTCTGTCCCCACCCTTCCCCGCCCGGCCTCCAACTGGTGGGAACTGGATTTTGCCGCTGCAAATGACTTCCCCATATTTTGCCACATTAACAGCTGACTGCACACCTGAGCCCCTAGGTTCCTAACCCCCGCTGGTGAGGTTTGGCTGGGAAAACCCCTAAGGGTCCGGGAGCTGCGCCTGGCGCCCTCCCCCATCCCGGGATGCAGGGATGCTGGGGGGGAGCATGGCACCCGCACCATGCATGTCTTGGGCACCTCATTGGGCAGAGGTGCGACGCTGCGCCGGAGTTCGGGGTTCGGGGCTCAGAAGCCGCCCTCTCCAGAATGTGCTCGAGTACCTGCCTTTGCAGGGGCGGGCTTGGGCACTGGTGCCGGTGGGGTGAGCGCTCCANGGTGACCTAAACACCGGTCCTTCCGGGATGAGCCCCGGCCCCGCCCTTTCGGGAGATGACTTGCAACAGGGACCGCCCCTCTGGGTCTGAGTTCCAGCCCTCGCGCTTTGCAATCGCCAGTTCCGGGAGCGCCCGTGCCACGGTTTCTGCGCTCTCACTGGCCGAGCCCGCCCCTCCCCTCGAAGGACCCGCCCCTGCCCCGCCCACCAGCGGGCTCGCCCCCGTGCCCGGCTTCGCCCGCCCCAGCCCCCTCCAGCTTGAATCCTGCCCGGTGCCCGGGCTGCTGGAGGTGGACACTCTGACCCTCAGGCAGCACCGGTGTCCACTTTGGGCCTGAGGAGGGGCAGTGTGGGCAGGGGATGGGACCGGGAGGTGGAGGGAAGGAGAGAATGGAGGGGAGGCAGGGGCGGGGAGAGAAAAGCGGAGGAATGGTGGTGAGGGGTTAGGGGAAGAAGTCAGGGGAGGTTGTAGAGGGTGTGGTGTAGCCTGGCCCTGCCAAAGGTCTGCACAGAGCCCCAGAAGAGTGACCAGGAGACAGCTCTGGGCCCCTCCTCACTTCCCTCCCCAGACCCGGAGGCTGCTAGGAGCAGTTGAGAGCCCACTTTTCCCCATTTCACCCTGCCTGCCACTTCCCCACCCTTGCAGGGGCCACCAGAGATGCCAGCACACAGGTAAACAAGCCTCATGCCGCCCTCCGCAGCAGGAGCCGCTGGAGCACACACACCCCACGCTGCGCACACTTGGCCCAAGCCCTGCCCTTGGCCTGGGCACCATTCTCCGTGCCCCTGACTGTCACTAAGTAGGGAGATGCTCATTCAGGACTCCTGCCCCACCTCCTCCCCAGGCAAGGGCTGGGCACAGGCTCAAATGTCAAAACCAGTGTCCCCCTGCCATGTGTCAATCATCGCTCCACAGAGCAGAAAACTGCAGGGGTGAGACTGGGTGGGACGGACATCGCAGAGGCGAGCGAGAGCCGGCCAAAGTCCTGGTGGGCAGGGGGGCCAGAGCCAGGTGGCCCAAGGCCGGCTGGCTAAGCCATTCCAAGTCACCGTGGGAGTGGTTCAGCAGCTACCCTTCGTTCAGCAGCTCAGATATGTTGGGCATCAGAAAACAATACCCCAAAATGAAGGCCTCAGAAGCAGCTTCGGAAGAAAAAGTGTTTCTCTGACCTTCTCTTGCTCTCCTGTCTCTCAGTGCCATTTTCCCCGAAGCTGGCCTTAGAAACTGGAATCCATTTTCCCCAGGGCAGGTCATAGAAATCAGAACCCCGCCTTTCCACACAGCCAGACATCAAACCTAAAAATATTGCTCTAACTTTCCCTCCACCTTTGTGTTTAGAAGCTGGCCATAAATTATCTGACCTCTCTTGTTTGACTGTAGGGCATAAGACCCCATTCCAGGAGGGTCCTGCTCCATGCCCAGAAAGAAGGAATGCTGCTCAGAAAGTTCAAGAAATCTAGACCAACAGCCCTCGCTGCGCTTCCCCTTGCGGTCCAGGAGCATTAGTGCAGGTCCCTTGGTTCATCTGTGTTCCCGCATGGATGTCCATACTTTGTTGAGCCTAAGCATCAGAAATGGCAATTTCCCCCATATCTTTTTTTTTTTTTTTTTTTTTTTTTTGAGACGGAGTCTTGCTCTGTCACCCAGGCTGAAGTGCAGTGGCGCGATCTCGGCTCGCTGCAAGCTCCGCCTCCCGGGTTCACGCCATTCTCCTGCCTCAGCCTCCCGAGTAGCTGGGACTACAGGCGCCCGCCACAGCCCCCGCTAATTTTTTTGTATTTTTAGTAGAGACGGAGTTTCACCGTGTTAGCCAGGATGGTCTCGATCTCCTGACCTCGTGATCCGCCCCCCCTCGGCCTCCCAAAGTGCTGGGATTACAGGCGTGAGCCACCGCGCCCAGCCTGTTTCCCCCATATCTTTGGGTCTTTGTTCTGAAAACTCCCATTCACACACGTCAATCAATTTGGGGACCAAATGCCTTTTGTCCAATCAATCTGCCCTCTGTGAGGTGGTTTCTTAGCAAGCCCACGGGTGCAGTGTACCGCTCGAGGGGATTCCAGCCCAAAGAGTGCAAACGTGTTTGCATCTGGAGTGCGTGTCCCCAGATCCTCTGCCAAGCTCGTTTTCAAGAATAGTCACCACTGGCCCCCCTGGGGACTTGGGGAGAGTGCAGTCAAGCCGAGAGCCCAGGTCCAGCCAGAGTTTCCTGGAAGGACTGCACAGAAAGGCCGGCTGTGTAAGGTGGGGGTGGGTGACAGGAGTCTCAGAGTGTCTTAGATTTGGGACTCCTGGGGGAGGATGGGCATCCACATGAACCCTTACTCAATGGGGCAGGTGTGAGGGACTGTCCCCAACAGGTTCCAGACGCCTCCTGGGTTCCCTGGGGAGGGCTTAGAGGATGAAGCGGCAGGAGGAGATGGGATGAGTTACCAAACTGCCCAGAGGTGTGCGAGGGAGGCTGAGGGTCCTCTGGCGCTGAGGTGTGGTGGAGATGCTGGAAACTTACCACTGTCTTCCTCCAGGTGAAGCAGGGCCTCAGGTAGCCAGGGAACTGGTTGAGCAGAGGAAATCGGAGAGACCTTTTTTTTTGTCATGAACAGGCTCAGTGTGAATGGGGGAACTTCCTGGTTCTGAGGGAATGTGGGAAAATTGCCCTTTAGGCTGGGTGAAGAAGAAAGCAAGTGGAACCCTGGCACCCCTGGACTTCCTCCTCCAGAGGAAGCGGCTTTGGTTGTGGGCCAGCGAGCCTGTGCGTCCCCAGCCCCAGGGCATTCACCGCTTCAGAGAAGCAAGGCGACAGTTCTGCCGGATGAGAGGATCCAGGCTGACTGGAGGAAGGAAGGGCTTTGGCTCATCTGGGCTCAGGTTTGGGAGAGATGGCTTCTCAGAGGAGGTGATGCCTCAGCCAGTCTTAAAGGTGAGCACGGATTGTTTGGGTATGGGAAGGGCATCCTGGCTGAGAGAATAGCATAGATAACGGCTTAGAGGTGAGCCCAGGCTTGGAGTGTTCAGGAAGCTGAGCCACTGGAAGGGGCTGGGACCAAGGGTGTACAGTGGGGTGACGGGGCAGAAAGTGAGTCTAGAGAGAGGGGTGACCCTGGGAGCGCTGGGCAGGGACACAGCCAGACGTGCACTGAGAAGTATTGCTCTGAACACTGCATCCTGGAGGCTGGGACCTCTGAGGGGTCTCCCGAATGAGAGGAGGCCAGCTTCAGAGCTGACCCCTGCATACACCACTGCCTGGACATTTGAAATGGCTTTGGGCCTATCTTAACCCGACACACATTTATTAAGCACCTACTGTGTGCATGCCCCATGCCAGCTGTTTGGGACGTCAGCTGGCAAAGCTGACCGCCCGGTGGTAGCTTGCATCATTAGAGTGCATGTGCAGGCTTCGGGGAGGCACATGATCCCGGGTCACCACAATGCCTAAGGAAATGACTCACTGCCTACGAGCACTTGAGTTCTTCCTGTGTGTGCAGTGGACGCCGCTGCAGGGTTCTGAGCCCCTTCTGTTCTCCAAGGAGCCTCTGGCTGATGTGCTGATGAGGGGTTGAGGGGAGGGGCAGTGCAGGAGGTCTCTGCTGTGGTCCAGATGAGAGGTGGTGTGGACTTGGATGGGGCATGGGGGGATTTGAGGGGCAGGTTTGGAACCTCCCTGGAAGGAGGCCTGACAGGCTTCCTGCTGGTTGGGGCCTGGGCTGAGAGGGCCAACTGAGGGGGCCTTCAGGTGCGGCTGGGGGCGACATGAGGGGAGGCAACCCTGCAGGTCCATCCACGGGAGGGGCCTGTGGGCCAGCAGAGAGGGCAGAGTGTGCAGTGTGCAGTTTGCGGCATGTGGTCTGAGCTGGACGTGAGGGTGTCATTGACACTCATGTCCTGTTTAGAGCTCCCACCCTGGATGAGATGACCAGGAGTGGATGGGGCTAGAGAGGAGAGGGGCCAAGGGCCAAGGCTGGACCCCAGCATGAGGAGGAGGTGCCCAGGGTTCTGACCAGGGAAAGGGAGGGAAAAATAAAGGAGCTGGGTCTGGAGAGAGAGGCAGGTAAGCGAGTGAAGGCCTGGGAGCTTCCTTGGGGCCGAGAGCTGGAGTCACTGGTGGCTTTGGCAAGAGCGTCATGAGCATGGGGGCTGACCCTCGGGATTCAAGCAGGAGGAATGGGCTGGACACCCTTCTGAAGGGTTTTGCACCAAAAGGGGGCTGAGAAATGGGACTGTGGCTGGAGGGGAAGTGGGATGAAGAGAGAGAACCTTTGTTTACAATTTTAAGATTTAAAAGAGTGATGCTGCAGAGAACGGAAGGGTGATGTGGAGGGAGCGGGGAGGGTCTGGCCTTCACCATCCCTCCATGATTCTGCAGAGGACTGAAGGGTGACCTGGAAGGAGCGGGGAGGGCTCTGGCCTTCACCATTACTCCATGATGCTGCAGAGGACAGAAGGGTGATCTGGAAGGAGCGGGGAGGGCTCTGGCCTTCGCCATTACTCCATGGGTGAAGTGAACGTGTTCTCCTTGAGGCTTTGTACTCTTACTCCTATGATTCTCCAAGGACCTGTCTCAATAAAGCCAACAAGGTTTTGCCTGGGGCGGGACTAGAGCGGAGGCAGGGTTGGATGTGACTCCTGCCCGCCCGAACCTCGGTTCCCGCCCACCTTACACCTTCTCAGCCAGGTGAGGTGCGGTTGCAGACCTTGGTCAATGGGGGCTGCCTGGATCCCACAGTGGGATCTGTGTCTGACACCCTGTTGGGGCTCTGTCCCAGCACCCCAGGCTTTGTATGTGTTGTCTTGGGAATCACAGCCTTATGAGGGGCCTTCAGCCTGCTGTGGGCACTGGGTGCCTGGCCTCGGCTTCATCTGGGAGGTGTCAGGTTAAGAGTCTGGGAGGCTGGGTTCAAAGGTCCTTTACCCCCTGACCTGGTATCCTTGGGACCCAGGGGTCAGCCTTCAGCCCAAAGGGGCTAGGCTTGCCAGGTAGCCCTGCGGGGGGCCTGGTGGTGCCCACGCTGTCTCTCATCTGCTAGGCCCCGGCTGTGCAGGTGCACGTGAGGAAGTGGGCTGTCAGGTGCTGAGGAACCTTCTAGAACTGGACTCTGAATGCGCTTCTGGGATTGGAGGTTGGGCAGAGACTTCTAGGAGGAGGGGCAGGGGCTGGACCTCATCCAGGGCTGGTTCTTGCCGGGCTGGGCATTGGGCTCAGACACATCCCATGAGAGGTGTGTGGAATTGTGGCCTTTAGGGCCAGGGCCCCGGAGAGAGGCTCTGCCAACAGGGGCTTCTCCACTGGCCTCTAGTGAACCAGGGAACCCAGACAGGCTTAGGGCCAAGGGCCCAGTCCCTGACACCAGTGTCCAAATGGAGGGAGGGCAGCAACGTGCTATGGGCTTTGGGGAGAGTCCTGTGGTCCTGGATGGGCGAGCACTCTCCCCTCACTGGGCTCCACTGTGGGCCTGGACCTGGGGCTCCAACATGGTGGGCTGTGGTTCACGTATTTGTGTTCACGCTGGCCAACAGCCACAGCTGAAGGAGATAAAGGCCCAGATGGCAGCATGGGGGAGGCGTCCAGTGTGGGGCCTGAAGACTGGAGCCCTTGAGGCCTTTGGGGGACAGTGAGAGTGTAGTCTGGAGTAGCCCACGTCCCCTTTCTCATACCACAGGCCAAGGGACCAGAGGAGATGGGTGGTGGAGCTGGGACCCTGCTCTAGGAAGCTCACTCATTGCTTGGGGGAGACCTGGTTTGCTCGGGACTGAGGAGTTTTGGGATGTAGGACTTCCCATGCCAAAATTGGGACAGCTCCGGACAAACTGGGTCACCCTCCCCTCATAGGACCCTTGGAGGCCAGAGGGACTCTCTCCGGTCCTTGACCTGGAGGCAGGAAGGGACGATGGTGGAGGTTGGGGAGGTAGCCAGGCAATGGCATAGGAACTGGGAACTGCGGGGTGGTGGGCCCAACCTGTGGACTCCCTTGAGGGATGCCTTGCCCGACCTCAGGACTCAGGAAGAAGGAAGAAGGAAGAACAGCCCTTGCAAAGGACGGATGTCCATCCGGGGAGGCAGGGGGAGGAGCCAGCAGCTGGCGGTCCCAGGCTGGCAAGGGCTGTGGTGGGGTGTGTGCACATGTGTATGTGTGCATGTGAGCATGTGTGTGCATGTGAACGGCATCGTGGGATCAGGAAGAGATGTGCCTCCGAACGGGGTCCTGAGAGAGCAGCCTCACACCTGCTCACCAGCCAGAACTGGGAAACTCATGCACGATGGGTGGCATGGACACCACTGCCTCTGTCCCCCCACAGGCACCTGCCGGAGGGCCTGGAGCTTATCTACTGCCCATCTCTTAGGTACACACGTCTCCCTCAACCGCAGCCTCCTTTGGTCCCAGTCCCTTTCCCCCTCCCAGGAACAAAGGACAGCCCCAAGCTCTCACCATCCTACCCACATCCATGTTCTCTTTATTTTATTTTTCATAAGACAAGGTCTTGCTCTGTCATCCAGGCTGCAGTGCAGTGGTGTGATCATAGCTCACTGCCACCTTGAACTCCTGGGTTCAAGTGATCCTCCTGCCTCAGTCTCCCTGGTAGCTGGGACTGCAGATGAATACCACCACACCCAGCTAATTAAAAAAAAATTTTTTTTTTTATAGAGACAAGATCTTGCTATGTCGCCTGGGCTGGTCTTGAACTCCTGGCCTCAAGTGATCTTCCCACTGGAATTACAGGCATAAGCCATAGTGCCCAGCCTCCAGGTCTTTTAGAACCTTCAGAATTCAGTAGGGAATCCAGAAAGAAGCAGGAAGGATTTCCAAGAAGCAAGAGGAGAAGTCGCAAAACCCATGCAATTACTTCTGACCCTTGGAGGCCTCTCAGCTCTCACCTGTCCTCCCTGCCCCTAGACTTGCTGGCAGCTTCAGGGAGCCTGGCTATTTGGTTTCCACCGGGGGCAGCCACACTGGCATCTCAGTGAGGTGTAGCAGCCTCCCTTCCCTGCTCCAGGCACCCTGGACATGGCTGGGTGAGTTTCTAAAACTCTGGTGGTTCCCACCCTGGACCTCTGGTGACACTGCTGTGTTCCTGGGGCAGCCAGCCCTGGAGCCCTGGCCCCTCAGCCCCCACTGGATCATGCCACATTTTGCAAACCAAAGAAGCATGAGAGATAGAGAGCTCCAGCTTCAAGCACTGTCTGCCCTGCACTCATCTTTGGATGGGTCTCTGCCTGTGTCCCCTGCCTGGAATGGTCCCCTTGCCTGTACGTCTCTTCCCTTCCATCCTTGGATCTTGGCACAAGTCGTTGCCCTGAAAATCCCCCGTCCCCTCCTTCATCATACAACCTGGGCACCACCCTGCCTTGTATACTTATTTCTGCTTCTGCCTGCCCACCCGGAAGCCCCTGAAAGCACAGTTGCCCCTGAGGTCTCCACGGAGATATTGCTGAATGGACGGACAGACAGGTGAGGCCATAAATCAGACACCCTTAGTCCAGGCCTCAATTTGACATTTGAGGAGGAGGCACTGCTCAGGCCGCCAAGCCCAGGCCCAGGTGCCCAGACACCCTCAGCAACATCTGCCAGGCTGCCATGGCTAATACCCAAATACAGGGCCCTGCGAGGTGGCTCATGCTTGTAATCCCAGCACTTTGGGAGGCTGGGGCTGGCAAATCACTTGAGGCCAGGAGTTTGAGACCAGCCCAGCCAACAAGGCAAAACCCTGTCTCTACTAAAAATACAAAAAATTGGCTGGGTGTGGTGGCGCATGCCTGTAATCCCAGCTACTTGAGAGGCTGAGGCATGAGAATCGTGAACCTGGGAGGCGGAGGCTGCAGTGAGCCAAGATTGTACCACTCCACTCCAGCCTGGGCAAAAGAGTGAGACTCTCTATCTCAATAAAACCCAAAAACTCCCCCAAAAAGCAAAAACCCAAAAGCAAATACAAATAAGACCCCACATAAGCTCAATTCACTAACTGCTTCAAATTAAAACCTGGGGTAACCCAGGGAAGGGGGCAGCTGTAGATAGGGCTCAGCAGGGGGGCCCCAATCTTAAAATCCCCAGCAGTCAGCATGCGTGCCAGAGGCCTGTGCTTATGACAGGGCCCAGCACTCTGCAGCCAGCCCCACCAGGCTGGCATCTTCACCACTGACCAGGGCTTGCCTGGGTCTGGAACTCTTGAGCCTCAGTTTCCCCATCTGTGAAATGGGGACAACGTTAATCCCTGCCTCACGGGATGCTTGTGAAGATTAGACAAGATCATTTGCACATCAAGTGCATGGCATAAGGCTGCCTAGCAGAAAGGGTGTGCTGCAGTGGCAGCTGGTACTGACCAGCAGCTAGGGGATGGGGCCACTGCTGGGTGCTAGGCACGTGTGCCTCAGTGCTCACTCAGGGCTGGCGTGAAGACTGATGCATGAGAGTCGGAGTGACCTGTATCCCATGGACTGTCCTGAACTCTGACAAAGGTGGGGTTCACTGCCCAAACTGCTCATCATGTAGATAACATTTCATCCTAGGCTTGGCACGGTGGCTCATACCTGTAATCCCAGCACTTTGGGAGGCTAAGGCAGGTGGATCATGAGGTCAGGAGTTTGAGACCAGCTTGGCCAACATGGTGAAACCCCGTCTCTACTAAAAATACAAAAATTAGCCAGGTGTGGTGGCAGGCGCCTGTAGTCCCAGCTACTTGGGAGGCTGAGGCAGAATTGCTTGAACCTGGGAGGCGGAGGTTGCAGTGAGCCAAGATCGCGCCACTGCACTCCAGCCTGGGCGACAGGGTGAGACTCCATCTCAAAAAACAAACAAACAAACCAAACCCCTTTCACCCTGCCTGCCTGTTTACATGGCAGGGGTGTAGGTGCCTTTCCTCCCCGCCAGCCCACATCTCTGGGTATAGAGTGAATGTCCAGTTTTCATTACAGCACAGCTGGAGGGGTGGCCAGTGGCAGCTCTCTGCCCTGCCTGCCCCTCTAGGTTGGAGGGAGAGGCTGATGATGGTGAGGGTAGTGGCATCCTCAAGAGGAAGGCCGCTGTGCCAGGCACATACTGACTTGCCCTTTAAGCCTCATCAGAAGCTTTACAGATGAGAAAGAAGAGGCACAGAGAGGTTAAGCAACTTGCCCAAGGACACACAGCTAGTAAGAGGCAGATGCTCTGCCCAACTCCACAGCCTACTTGTTTGCTGCTGGCCAGGCAGTGCCTGTCCCCTGTTCCCCATACTGTTCCCCTTGCTGGGCCAATGCTGAGGAGCAGGTCTGATAGCCTCCAAGGTGAAGCCAGCTCCTGAGCTGCAGCCCCAAGCCCTGCAGCCCTCTCCAGCGCCCTCCCCTGGGCCCATTCTCTGCTCACTCTCTGAGCTTGGCCTGTGTGCAGACACTCCCTAACCACTTCCCCAGCTGCCCTGATTGCTGGCCCCCAGCTCCCAGCCAGAAGCAGGACTATGATTCCTTGTTGTTCCGAAGCAGCCAGGGCACAGTTGTGCTCAGGACTGAAGGGTGTGAGTGTCCATACGTGCCCAGGCAGTGACCACGCGGTGGGCAGGTGCAGGCCCGACACAGAGGCTGCAGCCTCGGGGCTGGCTGTCACCTAGGGGCTCCGGGCAGCAGCGCCAATGGCGGGAACGAAGGCAGAGGGCGCCGGGCTGCCGGCCGGGCCTGCGGGGGGATAGGGCAGGAAGAGGAAGAGGAGGAGCTGGGGATGAGGAGGGAAGGAAGGAGGAGGGAGGGGAGGAGGGGCAGGGGGAGCAGAGAGGAAATGGGGGAGGGGCGGCAGGGCGGGTACCCACCTCTCCGCAGAGCGGCTCTTTGTCTCCCCTCCCCCACCCCCTGGAGACGGGCGAGGCCCACGTGCTGTTTCCCACTGAGGTGCGAGTGACACCGCCCCACCCCCAGATCGGAGGGGTGTTGGGGTTTGTGAAAAATGCGCTCCTGCCCGCTGCAGCCCGGACAGCCACACTGGGCAGAGCCCCCATCTTACACTTGAGGGGACTCGGGGCCAGAGAGCAAGGCCCTGGCCCAAGTCACCCCCAGGTGTGAGGCATGAATGAGGTGGGTGGGGGTCCTGGTGGCTGTGCCGTTTCGGGACGCCAGGGGGCAGCAGGCGCCCAGCTTCAGCCCTCAGGCTCCAGGCTCCAGTGGGCGGGAGGCTGCTTGGCTTCTGGCTGCCCCTGCGGCTGGGGAAGGGGGCACGGGCAACCTCTTGGTTGAGCATCTACTCTGAGCAGCCCTCGCCTGTGGGGTGCAGCCACCTGGGAGTGTGTTAACCTGGGAGGCCGCCAGGGCAAGCCTGCCGTCACCTCCTGGCCTCTGCGCTCGGTCTGGCCAACTGCCCTGGCTTCAAAGCTCAGCCAGGAGGAGGTGGAGAATGGGAGGGAGGAAGGAATGCAGGAAGAAAGGAGGAGTTAAGTGTTGGGGCTCCCCTCCTTCTCTGACCCTGGAGGTCAGTGGGGCGGGACCCCAGCCCAGGGCAGGAGGTGGCTTCACTGTCTCTGACTTGCTGGGGGACCCTAGGCCGGTCACTCCACCTCTCTGGGCCTCAGTTTCCTGCACAGGAAAGTAATAGGATTCAGAGAGGTCA
This sequence comes from Homo sapiens, assembly GCF_000001405.40. NCBI lineage: Eukaryota > Metazoa > Chordata > Mammalia > Primates > Hominidae > Homo > Homo sapiens. Next base: position 123,967 of record NT_187585.1, on the reverse strand, counting down.
CGCCATGTAGCAGGCGCTTTTAACTGACATCTGAAATAAAGTCTCCCTCAAGGCCTGGGAAGCCCCTTCACCCCCGAGGGCCCAGTAGGGGTGAGGCTTCCTCAGTAACTGCAGGCCCCTCCTCCTGCAGTGGAGGAGGGAGTGGTGGGGTGCATCTGGGGGCCCTCATGCCACCTCTCTGGAGGCATCCCCACTCTCTGGCATTTCAAATAGGCCCTGAGCTTCTCTGAACGCTGTGGCTTGGGTGTGGAAAGCAGGGTGGGAGGGAGTGGCTTGGAGAGGCTTTGAGGCCCTGGCGCCCCCCGTAGGCAGGAGATGCTGGTCACAGGGGTCTCCCCGAGCTCCAGCAGGAAGTCAGGGGGCTTGGTGGGAAGGGAGATCTGCTCACACCAGATTTGTTTTTCCTGCTGTTTCCCTGATAAAGTGAGCCATTGGGCCTGGGACCCCTGTGTCTGTGTCCTGTGGATTGGCAGGGAGAGGAGGAAAGGCCTGGTGGGCTCAGAGCTGGCTGCAGGGGTGTCTGACATAGGTCCCCACATGTCCTTGAGACCCTCCTCGGTACCTGCTTCCTAGCCCGGGAGCCCCCTTCCTAGCCCAGAAAGGCGCCGTGTGAAGCCCACGATGACCAGTGGCCCTCGGTTTCCTGGAACATTCAGTGCCGAAACCAGCAGTCTCAGGCAGGCTGGGACCAGGGGGTCCCTCTCTTCCAGACCCCAAGGGAAGCAGCCCCTGGTCCCGTTCTGGAGCAGGGGTGACTGTTCCCTATTCCCACTGGGCCTCTCCTCAGGGCCTGCCCAGCTCCGCCCATCGGTTCCTGGGGAGTGAGGACCCCTGGCCGGAACCCCCAGCACAAGGCAGTCCCTGTAATCGGAGCTTGTGCCGCGCATGTGGCCACGTCACCGCAGGGAGGCCGGCACCTGCGGAGGACGTGCCTGGCAGCCGCCCCAAGAACAGCCTGTCCTGGGGGGCGGGGCGAGCCTTGCGCGCGGGGAACTGGTGCGGGGGAGCTCTCCTGGCCCAGCATGGCCCCCCGCCAAGTGTGTGCTGAGCCGCCTGTTGCGGGAGGGGGGGCCTTGGGTTAATCTGTCACTCCCCATGCCCCTGGGGCCTCTGGGCTGGATGACTCCCCACCCCATCTTATGGATGGGAAGGTGGAGGCTCAGTGGGGGCAGGGAGCTCTGGGGCCTTTGGGGGCACAGCCAGTCAAGCTCCTGTCCAGGGCTGGTCTGAGGACCTGCTGCTGGGTGATGTGGTTTGAGGCCAAAGGGGTGGCCTTTCCAGAGTCAGGCATCCCTGGGCAGGGTTGTACCCTGCACAGATGCCCAGCCCTGGCTCTAGGGCTTGGGGTGGGAGATGTCAGGGGAGATTCCCAGGGCCCTTGACTTCTTTCTTTTCCTGCTTTCTTGTGCCCTCACAGAAGTCCTATGGAGGGGCTCAGGCTGGGTGAAATGCANGGCCAACCTCAAGTCTCAGTGACCTCAGGCAGGTGGCTTAACCTCTGGGAGCCTGAGTCCCCTCCCTTGCAAAATGGGCACGAACACACCTCCCTCTCAGGGGTCTTGGAAGGATTAAATGAGGCAACGAGCCCAGCCCTGGGTTAGGGCATGGCCCTGAGCACGCACAAGATGAAGGCAGCAAGTGTTGTCAATGTTTATAATATCCCTCTGGTCCTCTCCACAGGGCACCACCTGGGGAGCAGCTGGGGAGGCAGCCGGGAAGGGCACAGACACCTCTTGCAGGGTCCCTGGGGTGCTGTGGGAGGGTGGTACTGCTGAGGGCAGGCTCCGGGTACCTGGAGACTCTCTAGTGGGCCCTGGAACAGCACAGATTCAGATGGTGTCCAGCCCTCACCTCCTACCCACCTTGACCCTGTGCCTGCAATCCCCAGCCCTTTGTGATTGATGGGTGATATGGGGCCCATGGCTCAATGGAACATTCTTTGAGGCCTTCGTTTGTTTGAAGACAGATAGCTCAGGGCCTCAGAACCCAGGGAACAGGCCCGAGGCAGGTTTCACCATGGGTCAGAGGGGAAAGAAGAGCTCCCGGCCTGTCCTTGGTCACTCCCTGATAGGGGCCATTGGCCCACTGGCCGGGTGTCCTGTGTCCCAGAATTTGGGTTCCCTGGGGCTCTGGGTAGGGATTGGGCCTAACCTAGGACGGGCATTCCTAGCCCTGTGAAGCCACCTGCGGCACACATTCCTGATGGGGCCATGAACATGCCGACAAGGCAGCTGTACAGCTGCCACACCCGGGAAGGGGAGGCCTCGGGCAGCCGGGGAGGCACTGGAGTGGAGGTCACCCGCCAGAAAGCACATGTGGCCAAGGACATGGCTTCCTGGGCCTACCCTCGTTCTGCTACTCATGGACCAGTGTGTTTGCCTCTGGAAGCCTCTGTCTCCTCGGCTGTAAAGCGGGCCTACGACATTGACCGACCACCCATGAGGTTGTGGTGAGGACTGGCCCATGGGTGGCCCCTGGGAAACAGCTGGCTTAACGATTCCAGCACGAAGATCCACCAGGATTGGGACCTAGGCTTCTCTGGCTTCTGGGTCTTTCCTAGAAGGAACGCACAGCAGTGAGGGCTGCAGGTTAATCCTGCCTTAACTGCTTGGGCAGCAAGTTTTTCTTTTTCTTCTTCTTCTTTCTTCTTCTTCTTCTTCTTTTTTTTTTTTAGAGGGCGTCTTGCTCTGTCGTCCAGGCTAGAGGTAGTGGCACGATCACGGCTCACTATAGCCTCAACCTCCTGGGCTCAAGCAATCCTCCCACCTCAGCCTCCCGAGTAGCTGGGACCACAGGCACGTGCCACCACACCCAGCTAATTTAAAAAATATTCGTAGAGATGGGGTTTCTCTATGTTGCCCAGGCTTGTCTGGAACTCCTGGGCTCAAGCGAGCCACCTGCCTTGGTCTCCCAAAGTACTGAGGGTATATAGGTGTGAGCCATGGCTGCAGTAAGGTTTGAATCTTCTCAAGCCTTGGTTTCCTTGTCTGTAAAAGGCCAACTGAAATCTACCTATGCCTTCCCTATGTATTAGGGTATGTAACGCCCCACTGTGATGGACAAGCCTACATTTCTAGTGGGTTAAGATGCAATAAAAGTTTATTCTTTGTGCCCAACACAGGCAATGCGGTGTGCAGAGGGTGCTTGGTGGTTCTCTCCTGATGGCCCCGCAGGGTCTGCAGCCTCCATCTGGCCAGCAGAAGGCGCAGAAAGACTGCCTGGGCAGCTCGGACGTGACCGCCTGGAAGTGGTGTACAGCGTTCCTGACAACGTTCCCGGCCAAAACGGGTCCCGCCGCCCACTTGTGTGCAAGATAACTGGAAAATGTCTTTCTGTGTGCTCCGAGGAGAATGCAAAGGCTGGTGGATGTAGTGCCTTTCCTCTACTGCTCTCTCAGCTGGGGGCAAGAATGACAGGACGTGAACATGCACACAAGGGCCCGGAACTCACGACCCCCGACAGCGGTCTCCCCCGCCCCCCCAACCCCGCGCTTGCAGGATTTAGGGCACTAGCACAGCACAGTCCACCCCTTGGGACTAGCACCCCCTCCGCAGTTCTGCTCTCTGCAGCAACATAGAGTACAAATATTGTTCCTTTTGTTTCTTTTTTCCCTTTGGATACATTTTTAATTACAAAAATAGAGCTTGATTGTTGCACCTAGACAGATGTTTGCTTGCTTCTGGGCCCATTGGGCCTCCTCTCAGAGCCTGGAACTCCCAGCCCCCAGCTCCTGGGGTGCCTTCCTCCAGGTGTGTCCCTGGCTTGGGCTGGGGGGACACAGCCCCGCTCCTGGGACGTGCAGGTTTAAAATGCTATTGGGTACCATCTTTGATCGAATTCAGAGTGACAGACTTAGAGCAGGTCACCTCTCAGCTTCTAACGAGGCCAAGACGGAGGAATCCCCACAGCACTGGGTTTGACTCTGTAATTAAGCTGGTAAAGTGGAAAAATAAAAGTAGGAAACCTAAGTGGAAACCAAACCAGAAAGCCAGGCAGCCCGGGAGTTCTGAGCCCTGCTTCCCTCCAGCTGTGCGGCCTCAGCGGCTGACGCGGTCTCTGCTGCTCTTCTATAACACAGGATGATGGCAGCTACACCCTCTGAGTGGTGTCACCAAGGCCAATGAGTCCTGATGGTTGGAGTGTGGGTATCCGGGGGCCTCTAGGTCACTACCCACTCTAGCCCTTTGCTCCTAGTCTCTGGGGAGGTGGCAGCATAGGGGCATGGAGCAGACCAGACTTTGCCTCTTTCTGCCCCCAGGCCAGTTGATATGAGCCCTGCTTGAGGGGTTCGCAGGGCCTGGGGAGCCTTCTTCAGCTTCTCTTTGTTTTCCTAAGATGAAAATTGTGACATCTGGGCTTGTTGCGGGAAATTTGTAAATTGTGCACAAAAAAAAATATGAAATTGCACATAAATCATGGCTTTTGGTTCCACCATCAACAGCCAATAATGGCCCTGGCCCCTCTCCTGGGTTAACGCCCTGTCTCATCCACTCCACCCCCCTCACTTCAGATCTCGCTTCCCTGAGACCCAGAAGACCCGCCCTGCTCCCCCAGCTGCAGCTGCACACTGCCACAGCATTCCATGGGAGTGGGGGTGTCTTGGGACTCAAAGGCAGGCTGGTTGGGGTTCAGGGGACCGCACCTTCCCTCCCTCCCAGAGGTCTCTCTGCTGGCTCACAGGCTCACCTGAGATAGGGGCTTAGATCTCATGGGCTGCTGGACCCTCCAACAGGTGTCTGACAGTCCCCATCCCGATCTGGGAGGCTCCTGGTTTGAGGAGGGGGCTCCCTGACTCATGGTAGGTGGGCCAAAAGGGAGGCAGCAGGAAATAATGGTCTCTTTTGGTCTGGCCTGGCTGGGGTGAAGCACCGTGTGTGTGCGTGCGTGTGTGTGTGTGTGTGTGTGTGCGTGCGCGCACGACCGAGGTCTGTACCAGGAAGGGCTGCAGGCGGGGGAGGGGCATGGTCCTTCACAGCCCCTTCCCCTATGACCTCGGGCAGATCTTTCACTTTTACCCAGTACAACAGCTTCCAGCCAGCCTGGACAGGCAGATCCCGGGGCTGGAGTGGTCTGGCCCAAGGCTGAGAAGGGCTGGGACCCCCGACAGTGACATGATGGGCTCAGCCCCTGTTCCATCTACTGGGCAGGGTGGGCCTCCGCAGATAGCGGCTTCAGACTCCAGCTCCAGGGGGCTGGTGGGAGTCTCTCAAGGTGTCCCACACATGGTCCCTCGGGGAAAGAGTGGAGCTGACCCCTGTCCCCCCTCCCGACTCGAGGGCCTTAGGGCCAGCAGGTGTGTGAGGGCTCCAGGCGCGCGGAGCCCTCGAAGGGACACCAGCCCAGCAGCAGCAGGCCGCGCGGGGGCAGCCGAAGACCCCATCCGGCGCAGGCCAGGGCCGAGCTGGCAGCGGCGGGTCCAAGCCTCGTCAGCTGGCGCAGGAGGCCCACGGGCGAGCGCGGGACGGAGCTGGGCGCCGGGGTCCGGACCGGGCCGGGGTCGAGTTGGGCCTGGCCGGACACCGGACCCGCCAGGAGCCGGCCCCTGCCGCGCTGGGCTGAGGCCCCCGCCTGCAGACAAAGGAGCCGGCGGGGGGCGGGAGCCGGGGGGGTGGGGGAGTGTTGCAGGGGGGATGGGGCGAGGGGGCGGGGCGTCGCGGTGTCACGTTACCGCCCGCAGCGCCCTTTAACTCCCGCCCCCGCCCCGCTCACCGCCCCCTTCCCCTGCTACAGCGCGCTCGCCCCGCGGCCGCCAATCAGCCGCGCGCCCCGGCCGCGCGCCCCGCCCCGCCCCCGGTGGGTGTGCGCGCGGCCAATGGGCGGTGCGCGGGGGCCGGGCCGCGGCGGGGCGGGGCAGCGGGGCGGCCGCCAATCGCCGTGGTGTTGTTGAAACTGAAAATACTACATTATGCTAATCGCGGCCGGGCCCGCGCGCACGGGGGTGGGGCCCGCGCGTATAAAGGGGGCGCAGGCGGGCTGGGCGTTCCACAGGCCAAGTGCGCTGTGCTCGAGGGGTGCCGGCCAGGCCTGAGCGAGCGAGCTAGCCAGCAGGCATCGAGGGGGCGCGGCTGCCGTCCGGACGAGACAGGCGAACCCGACGCAGAAGAGTCCACCACCGGACAGCCAGGTAGCCGCCGCGTCCCTCGCACACGCAGAGTCGGGCGGCGCGGGGTCTCCCTTGCGCCCGGCCTCCGCCCTCTCCTCCTCTCCTTTCCCCTTCTTCTCGCTGTCCTCTCCTCTCTCGCTGCCCGCGTTTGCGCAGCCCCGGGCCATGTCCGACGCGTCCCTCCGCAGCACATCCACGATGGAGCGTCTTGTCGCCCGTGGGACCTTCCCAGTACTAGTGCGCACCAGCGCCTGCCGCAGCCTCTTCGGGCCGGTGGACCACGAGGAGCTGAGCCGCGAGCTGCAGGCCCGCCTGGCCGAGCTGAACGCCGAGGACCAGAACCGCTGGGATTACGACTTCCAGCAGGACATGCCGCTGCGGGGCCCTGGACGCCTGCAGTGGACCGAAGTGGACAGCGACTCGGTGCCCGCGTTCTACCGCGAGACGGTGCAGGTGGGGCGCTGCCGCCTGCTGCTGGCGCCGCGGCCCGTCGCGGTCGCGGTGGCTGTCAGCCCGCCCCTCGAGCCGGCCGCTGAGTCCCTCGACGGCCTCGAGGAGGCGCCGGAGCAGCTGCCTAGTGTCCCGGTCCCGGCCCCGGCGTCCACCCCGCCCCCAGTCCCGGTCCTGGCTCCAGCCCCGGCCCCGGCTCCGGCTCCGGTCGCGGCTCCGGTCGCGGCTCCGGTCGCGGTCGCGGTCCTGGCCCCGGCCCCGGCCCCGGCTCCGGCTCCGGCTCCGGCCCCGGCTCCAGTCGCGGCCCGGGCCCCAGCCCCGGCCCGGGCCCGGGCCCCGGCCCCCGCCCCGGCCCCGGCCCCGGACGCGGCGCCTCAAGAGAGCGCCGAGCAGGGCGCGAACCAGGGGCAGCGCGGCCAGGAGCCTCTCGCTGACCAGCTGCACTCGGGGATTTCGGGACGTCCCGCGGCCGGCACCGCGGCCGCCAGCGCCAACGGCGCGGCGATCAAGAAGCTGTCCGGGCCTCTGATCTCCGGTGAGCCCCGCACGGCCCCGCCCCGGCCCGGGCCGGCCCCGCTTTGTCCGGCCGGCCGGTCCCCCCAGCCCTCGGGGGCCTCGCTGGGTTCCCGCCTCCTCCCGTGGCATTAAAGGGCCCGCAGCGCTCAGGGCGCGGCTGCGCTTACCCCCCTCCCCGCCCCGTTGTTGTGCCCTCCAGCGGCTTCGCGGCCCCGTTCTTCTCGGGTGGAGCGGCTTCGCGCGGGCCGGGGTGGGAGGCTGAATCCCGGCCGCGACCCCCCGGGAGCGCAGTTTTCGCCCCCGGCCGCGGGAGCCCCTCCCCGGGCGCGCCCGCGCCCCGTGAGCACGGCGTGGAGGGGGTTAAGCGCGGCGGCGGCCCCGGGGGGCTTGGCCGCGGGACAAGGGGAAATGCTTACACAGCACATTGCGCGGCGACGTAAACAAAGCTGACCCGCCGCGGACCTCGGCGCGGGCGGGGACGGCGCCCCCACCCCGGCCGGCCCGCGCCCCGCGCCCTCTCCCGGCCCCCTCTCGGGTCTCCGGGCCGGCCCCGCCCTGACCGGCCGCGCGCGCTGTCGCCCGCAGATTTCTTCGCCAAGCGCAAGAGATCAGCGCCTGAGAAGTCGTCGGGCGATGTCCCCGCGCCGTGTCCCTCTCCAAGCGCCGCCCCTGGCGTGGGCTCGGTGGAGCAGACCCCGCGCAAGAGGCTGCGGTGAGCCAAGTGAGTACAGCGCACCTGGGGGGGCGCGGAGGGCCGACCCGCCGGGTCCCCGCCGGCTTTGCTGACCGCCCCTCTCCTCGCAGTTTAGAGCCCAAAGAGCCCCGAGGGAACCTGCCGGGGCAGCGGACGTTGGAAGGGCGCTGGGCCTCGGCTGGGACCGTTCATGTAGCAGCAACCGGCGGCGGCTGCCGCAGAGCAGCGTTCGGTTTTGTTTTTAAATTTTGAAAACTGTGCAATGTATTAATAACGTCTTTTTATATCTAAATGTATTCTGCACGAGAAGGTACACTGGTCCCAAGGTGTAAAGCTTTAAGAGTCATTTATATAAAATGTTTAATCTCTGCTGAAACTCAGTGCAAAAAAAAGAAAAAAGAAAAAAAAAAGGAAAAAATAAAAAAACCATGTATATTTGTACAAAAAGTTTTTAAAGTTATACTAACTTATATTTTCTATTTATGTCCAGGCGTGGACCGCTCTGCCACGCACTAGCTCGGTTATTGGTTATGCCAAAGGCACTCTCCATCTCCCACATCTGGTTATTGACAAGTGTAACTTTATTTTCATCGCGGACTCTGGGGAAGGGGGTCACTCACAAGCTGTAGCTGCCATACATGCCCATCTAGCTTGCAGTCTCTTCGCGCTTTCGCTGTCTCTCTTATTATGACTGTGTTTATCTGAAACTTGAAGACAAGTCTGTTAAAATGGTTCCTGAGCCGTCTGTACCACTGCCCCGGCCCCTCGTCCGCCGGGTTCTAAATAAAGAGGCCGAAAAATGCTGCAACTCCAGTCTGTTTGTGCTTGTGCCTGCCTCCAGCTCCCTTCTCCTGCACCCCCAAAAGCTGGAGAGCTGGAACGCAGGAGAGAGCAGCCCAAAGTGGGCATCCCCAGTCCATCCAAAAGGGGAAGCCTCTCTCCTGGCTGGGCCTGGCCCACACCCACCTGCTCCAGTCCCCTTATCTCAGGAGGGGCGGCCGGCCTGCACTGCACCCTGCATTTATCACCTCTCACATGCGGGGCTGCAGAAAGACAAGCCTGGATTTCATGTAGCCCCAGGAGGCAGGGAGCACAGCCCCTGACTTGCTGCCCAGACCCAGGCTTGTTTCAAGGAAACCACCCGCAACCCCTCTGCTGATGGGCTCAAGCCCCTGCTAGTTTGAGGATGCGCTGAGGTGGAGGGTGTGGAGCAGGGTCCACCAAGACACAGCCAGTCCTCCAGATTTCTTCAGGCCTTGCACCAGGGTCTCCTGTTTTTGTGGGCCAGGGTCTCCCTAGGTCTTGCCACAAGACACTCAAAGTGTTCAAGGTCTAGTCACACCTGCAGTGGAGGAGGGGCAGCCTCGAAGCCTCTGAGGGGAGGCAGAAATGGGAGCACAAGGGGGAGGTGCCCTGGAATCAGGAGGACATGGGGAGGGGTGGTTTCTGATAACCAGGCTTTGGTGGAAGAAGTCGAGGCTGAGTGCACCCCTGTGCGCCCCCACTGTCCACCATACCAGCCCGGAGTTTCAAAGCGTTCCTTCTTAGTAAAAGAGACGTTTATTATTTTAATAGCTGACCTATAAACCTCTGAAAATTATGGCTTACAATGGAAAGGGTGATGTAAAATAGCAAAAACAGAACGGCTAGCAGTATTTTTGCTGGTGCCTTGGGCTGGGAGAAGAAAAGAACTGGTGGACCCTTACGGGGCCCTACGTGACAGTTGCTGACTTCCTCCTCCCACCTCCACCGGGGGCAGGGACAAAGGGGGGCTCAACTTGAGATGGTCGAGATGTATTTAGACATGTAATTAACTGAGCTCCCCCCAGCTGCCTGGAAGGGCTGGGCGGGGAGGGTGATGGGCCTGGCCTCGAGGCCCAGCTGGGGCCAGACTCCGGGAAATGCCCCCGGGACCTGAGAGTGGCAGGTCTCGCTGCTTCGGCTCAGCAACAGGGACCCTCAGCTGACGGTAATGAGGGACCAGACCCATGTAGACCTGGCTTCGGCCTTCCAACCTCTCCCACAGGGGAGAAACCTCCACATTCACCTGTGTGAGGAGGACAAAGCCTTTTCCCTTCTGACATAAACGGAGGTGGCAGTGCCTACTGCCACGGGCTGGGATGATGCTGGACCGGGTGCCTGGCAGGCAGTTAGTGGGTGCACAGCGTAACCTGAGTTAACTGTTTGTGGTGACCGATCTGCTGGGTTGGGGCCTCATCATCCACAGCTGCATCTGCTGCCAGGCCTCCTGCTGCAGCTGGGGCCGGCGGGGCTCCTACCTTGCTTAGCTTCTTGCAGTCCTGGCCCTTGGGCACAGGACATGTGGTTGCCCAGCACCCTCTTGTCACTCAAGGGTACCTTTCTCAAAAGCAGTGTGAGGCCTTTGTGGGGACGTGAAGGTGAGGCCCAGCGCCATTTCTCAGGAGGAGTTTCTCCCCAGGGCAGGAGCTGGCTGCAGGGATGCACAGGCCACCAGCCTCCATGGGCTGCTAGTCACACGTGGGACTCTGGGCACATGTGACCCAGGCAAGCTAGCCTTTCCTTCTGGGGGGCCTCGGTTTCCCCATCTGGGCTGAGAAACGTCCAGGGTTTTTTCCAGCACTGTGTTCTGTGATTCTCACGTGGGGACAGCCATGGAAATAATACCTGATGGCACTGTTTGCAAAGCTCTCTTCTCACCCATGCTGTTGGGAAAGAGCAGATAGGAGCGTGCGTCCTGGCCCCCAGGCCTCATCCAAGCTGAAAACACAGGCACCGGCTGGCAGCCAGCACACTCATGGGTCTGCCGTGTGGGAGTCACGCTCCAGCTCCACTGGGGATCCACAACCATCATATGAGCGATGACACCAGGACCGCCAGGCACACAGCAATGGCTTTTCTCTGTGCCAGGCATATGCTAAGCAGGATCAGCGTCAACCAGGTCCCACTGTTTTCCTTGTTTGAAGAGGAAACTGAGGCATGGAGTAATCCACCTGAGGTCACACTCCTGACCTTGGCAGGGCAGAGGGATGTTGGGCTGGGGTGCTCTGGGGCCGGGCCTGGAAACCATTGCACTATCCTGTCCCCTGGACTGGGCTGGGAAGACAGGCAGTTGCTCCGTTAACCTACAGACAGTCCAGATGAAAGTGATGAGGGAGAAGGGTGAATGTGTCGGAGCCAGGGGATCAGGGTGAGGCAGGAGAGATAAGGCAGGGGAGGCTGCTGGTGCCAGGGGGCCTTGGTGGGCCTGGCCTGCTGGTGTGTGTGAGGCCGGCACACGGGCGTACATGTGGTTCAGTGTAAGGGTGTCTTTTGGGTGTCGCCTGCTGGGCCTCCCCCTTCCCTGCCCTGTCCTACTGGTCTCCTGTACCTCCCCGGGCCTGATGGACTGGTGCCAAAGATTGGATTTTGTCAGCCAGCAGTGGGGAGCCCCGGAGGGACTGAAGCAGGGAGTAGTAGAAGCATCTCAGCTGCTGGGTGAGGAAGGAGGAGCGCCAGCAAGAGGGAAGGGGGTGAGGGGACCAGAAGGACACTGTGGCCATCCAGGCAGAGGGCAGAGGCACTGGGTTGGGTGGACACTCCAAGAGGCTCCAGCATGCCAGCCCCTGTTCCAGGCACCAGAGACTTAGCAATGAATAGAGAGACAGCAGTCCCTGCTGCAGGCGCTTTCTCCACTGGTGACATCAGAAAACCCCTCCAGTGGGCTGTGGTGCATACAAAGGTGGTTGGTGTGGGGGGGTGGGACAGAGCTGAGCCAAGCACCAGCCTAGCCTTTAAAACAGGAGGGGCTAGGAAGCCCCTCCTCCAGCTCCCAGCAGGTGACATAGCAGGTAATGGTGTCTGAAGAGCACTGTTTTATTGTTAGTTATTTTTTGGTTCAATATTATTAACTGAAGTCCATAGGTTACAGGAGGGTCCGTTCTCAGTGCCGTACATTCTACGGGTTTGGACAAATGCTTACTGTCCTGTGTCCACCATTACAGTATCATACAAGGTAGTTTCACTGCCCTAAAAATCCTCTGTGACCCCACCTATTCATCCCTCCCTCCTCCCTAGCTCCTGCAACCACTGATCCTTTTACTGTCTTTGTAGTTTTGCCTTTTCTATAATGTCATAGATGTGAACTCATACAGCATCAGCCTTTTCAGATTGGCTTCTTTGACTTAATAATACTTAAGGTTCTTTCATGTCTTTCCATGACTTGAGCTCATTTCTTTTTAGCACTGAATAATATTCCGCTGACCGGAGGCACCACAGTTTGTTTACCCACTCACCTCCTGAAGGCTTCCAGGTTTGGGCAATTATGAATAAAGCTGCTATCAACATCCACGTGCAAGTTTTTGTGTGGATGCAAGTTTTTGACTCATCTGGGCAAATACCAAGGGGTACAATTGCTGGATGGTGTGTGGCGGATCATATGTGAAGGGTACATTTAGTTTTGTAAGGAGCCACCAAACTATCTTCCAAAGTGGCTGCACCATTTGTGTTCCCACCGCAGCTCCTGTTAAAGCCCAGCGTGGAGAGTTCCTGTTTCTCATCTGTGTACCACACCCACCACCAATTTCAGATGAATTAAAAAACAGAAACCCTACTACAATGTGGACACGGCAAGGACAAGGCATAATTCCAAACGAACACTGATGACCGTGGCTTGATCTCACGGCCCCGGCTGGTTCGGCCTGGCTCGGGGTGAAGAGCCTGGGCCCTTGGCCGTTCTTCATCCAGCTGGCCCTGTAATGAATTGCATGTTGTCCAAATATCTGCCTCCCCAAATGCAGGAAGATTCTGCATTTCCCGCACGTCAATATCAGACGTGGCCATGTAACTTGCTCTGGGCAGTGAAACGTGACCCACTTGGCATGTACCATTGCCAAATGGAGCCCGTCAAAGCCAGGGTCCTGCCGTTTCATCCCTCTGCTGTGAGACAAATGAGACCTCAGACAGGGGCCGCCCCTTCCAAAAGAGAAAATGGAGTACAACCCCAGCCCTCCAGCGAAGGGACTGTCGTGGTGAGTGAGAGATCCTCCATGCTTGATGTACGCTGCCAAGAGCTTTGGGCCTGTTTGTTATGCAGCATAAGGTAAGCTGACAGAGACAGGTTCCTTGAAGACCCAACTCACTGTTCGAGGTTTATGGGAATGACAGCAAGGGCCTGGTGGCATTTTGAGTTGTTCTGGTTACTTGGACACATGTCCAGAAATGACGCAGAGACTCATCCCTGCAAGCTGTGTTCAGTGTCCTGCTGGTGTTGGTCTAGCTTGTCACATTTGCAGGCTGGAGGTCAGGTGTTTCCAGCTGGTAGTGACGGGTCCTGAGTTCCCTCTTGGTTACCATCTATCCTGCTATCGTGTAGTTTTATGTGAGTGCCTTAACAACTGTCTAGTAAGTCATCTTTTTTTTCTTTGATGAAGGAATAAAATGATTGTGATTTGGGGAAGGGTCAAAGTCTCAGAGATGGAGCTGGCTGCCCACACTCTAGCATCCTGAAGAAATCCTGGCTGGGTGCGGACGCTCATGCCTGTAATCAAAGCACTTTGGGAGGCTGAGGTGGGAGGATCACTTGAGCCCAGGAGTTTGAGACCAGCTTGGGGCAATATAGCAAGACTCCATCTGTAAAAAAATTTTAAAAATTAGCCAGCTTTGGTGGTGTGTGTGCACCTGTGGTCCCAGCTCCCTGGGGGACTGAGATGGAAGGATCACTTGAGCTCGGGAAGCGGAGATTGCAGTGAGCCATGATCAGTTGTGCCACTGTACTCCAGCCTGGGCGACAGTGTGAGCGAGACCCTGTCTCAAAAAAAAAAAAAAAAAAAAAAAGTGGCTGGGCGAGGTGGCTCATTCCTGTACTCCCAGCACTTTGGGAGGCTGAGGCAGTCAGATCACGAGGTCAGGAGATCAAGACCATCCTGGCTAACACGGTGAAACCCCGTCTCTAATAAAAATACAAAAAATTAGCCAGACATGGTGGTACGTGCCTGTAATCCCAGCTACTTGGGAGGCTAAGGCAGGAGAATCGCTTGAACCCGAGAGGCAGAGGTTGCAGTGAGCCAAGATGGCACCACTGCACTCCAGCCTGGGCGACGGAGCAAGACTCCGTCTCAAAAAAAAAAAAAAAATCGCAATTGCTTATTCTGAAAATTAAAAATTGTGTTATTTAAGCCTTGAAGTGGTTGTTTCAGGGGCAGCTGAGATATTGATTATATCACCAAGCTCTGCTCCATGGGCAAGCCCCTTGGGATAAAAAATGAAAATGGCCTCTGATGACCTAGTGGCGCCAGGAAGAAAACGCTCTGATCTTAGCTGTTACTTGAAAGCCCTCAGGGGCAGGACTTTCTTGGCAGGGCTTGCCTGCTCCAGTGTCAGACAGCTGTGTGTACTCACCATTCCCTTCTGCCCCAAATCACAGCCACTACTCTGCTGTTCAACACTGAGGCATAAAGTCGGGTGTGGACAGGCAGCCGGTACCTCCTCTTCTGTTAGCATGATTACACCTGTTCTCATGATCTCCTGCCAAGTAAACAACTATCCCAACACTTTGTGGTTTAAAACAGTGGTTTTAGCCGGGTGCGGTGGCTCACGCCTGTAATCCTAGCACTTTGGGAGGCCGAGGTGGGAGGATTACGAAGTCAGGAAATTGAAACCATCCTGACTAACGTGGTGAAACCCCGTCTCTACCAAAAAAATACAAAAAATCAGCTGGGCGTGGTGGTGGGCGCCTGTAGTCCCAGCTACTCGGGAGGCTGAGGCTGAGAATGGCCTGAACCCAGGAGGCCGGAGCTTGCAGTGAGCCGAGATTGCACCACTGCACTCCAGCCTGGGCGACAGAGCAAGACTCCACCTCAAAAAAACAAAAAAACAAACAAAAAAACCCAGTGGTTTTATTTATACCTATGATTCTATCAGAAATTGGGGAACAGTTGGCAGAATAGCTTGGCTCTGTGTTATGGGATGTCAGCTAGAGTAGTTTGATTGGGGTTGAGGAATCAACTTCCAATATGGCCCACTCCCATGCCTGGCAAAGCCCTGGGAGCTGCTGCCTGTGGCTCCCTTCGCAGGCCTGCTTGGGCTTCCTCATGGCATGGCAGCTGGGTTTCAAGAGCAGGTGTTCCAGGAGGCCTAGGAGCAGCTCTAGAGACCTGGCCTCGGAAGCTATGCAGCATCATGTCTGCCTCATTTGATTGATCAAGCAAGCTACTGACACCATCCCAGATTCATGGCAGGGGGATCCTTTCTGCTTGAGTGGCAAAGGGTTTGCAGCCATCTTTGCCCCAACACCCTTCTTACAGAACCCAACCCTGGTGATTGATTGATAGCCAGCATGTTTGGGGGGGTTTACTTCAGGACCCACAAGCAATTGTTACCTGAATTCAAAACAGCCTATAATCCCAGCACTTTGGGAGGCCAAGGTGTGAGGATCACTTGAGCTCAGAAGTTTGAGACCAGCCTAGGCAATACAGTGAGACCCTGTCACTACAAAAAATATAAAAATTATCTGGGCGTGGTGGCGTGTACCTGTGGTCCCAGCTACTTGGGGGCTGAGATGGGAGGATTGCTTGAGCCTGGGAAGTCAAGTCTGCAGTGAGTCGTGATCACACCACTGCATTCCAGCCTGGGCAGCAGAGCAAGACTCTGTCTCAATAAATAAGTAAATTCAAAATAAAAACAATTTTTTTCCTCTAGCATGGATTTTCAGTAATTAACAGAATTAAAAAAAAATCATCAAACACTTCTTGTGTTTGACCTGACCAAGTGCCAGGAGTGGCTTCCTGTCTAGCAAATTAGAAAGATGCAGGCCTAGTTGAGAGGCACACTGCTGTGAGTTCATGTCAGCAAGGACCCCTGAGTAAGGGCTGCAAGGCCACTGTGATGATGTCACAAAAACTCTTGATCAGGGTATCTGCCCACAGCCTTTCTGCCTTCTTTTATGTGCGTGTACATAACATGTATGTGTCTATATGTTATAGACATACACACGTACACATAATGTGTATGTATACACACAACACATGTATGTATGTGTGCATATATTGTCTATATGTACATAATTTATCTCTTTTTGTTAACTTTGTATTTGGTTTTACATTTTCTCAGCAATATGTAACAGTATCACTGCTACTTCCTTACAAAGCATTCTTATGGAAATTTGCAAACATACTCAAAAGCAATAGAATAGTACATCACCAGCCAGTTTCAACCATCATTAACATTTTTCCAATCTTGTCAATCTGTTTCCCACCTCCACTTTTACTTTTTTTTCCTTTCTGCAGTTTCATAAAGCAGATCCCTGGCTGAGCACAGTGGGTGATGCCTGTAATCCCAGCACTTTGGGAGATTGAGGTAGAAGGACTGCTTGAGCCCAGGAGTTGGAGATCAGCCTGGGCAACATAGCGAGACCCTGTCTCTATTGAAAAAAACCAACAACAAAAAAAGCAGATCCCAGACACTGCATTCCCCCAACTGCAAATTCTTCCTCCGTGCAACTCACGCAAGTTTCATTCTTACAAATGCAATGTGGACAGGAAGATACAGCGTGGGTTCTTTCCCATCTTCAGTGTGGTGCACATCAGCTTTGCCCTGGAAAGTGTCCCTTTCCACTCATTCTAGAATAACAATGCTAGCTCCCAGGGAAGGCCCTGGGCTTTGCTTGAAAATGACACAAAACCACTGCTGGCCTCACGCCACCATGTGGCCAAGTGTCTTAAGAGACCATGCACTTGGGACAAATCCAGGACATCCTGTGTCCAGTGTCACACTTGGTGGACGGTCCCTGCATGTAGGGGACCTCCCACGTTCACGTTGAAATCCTGACGGGTCAATATTTGCTGCTTCCTGGATCCTCCTGTGAGCCACTGATCCATTTTTGGGAGCTGAAATAGTAATCCAAGTGGAAATGCCTCACACGCACACGATAATGCACAGACACTGGGAGCCAGGCCAGCTGGGGAGCCCTGCCCGTGGTCTTAGCCACGCGGACTTACATTTGGGAATGCTACAACCTTCACTCCTATGGTCTGCGTGAACAAAAACCACTTATCCCCCTTCCCTTTGACACTGTCATCTGCCTGTGGCTACCTTCGGCATGATCCAATCCTTTGGGGGTGCCCCTGGCCAACCATTGGGTGGTACTGGGGTCTGTGGGCAGGGGTTCAAGTTAGAGGGTGGTTGCCTGGTGGCCCACATGCAGGAAACACACAGGGAGTTTGCATGGGCCCAGCTCATCCTTATGCGACTGGAGCCCAACTTGGAGCACGTGGGGTGTTGNGTTTANNGGTCTGCACTGGTGTTGTCTTTCTGATTGTCTCCAATTTGGGACTTCCTCCGTCTTGCTGGGGTCTGACTTCNCCTCACTGGTCCCTCTAAGGATGGGGCCTGTCTANGGTGCAGAANCCTCACTGGGCCTCAATCTCTCTCACTGANACGAAGAAATANGATCTGAGTCTCTGAGGGCCCATCTAGCTCGAATGTTCCTTGAGTGCTTGAGCGAAGCTTGCCCATGGTTTGAGATTTGTCCCAGAACCCCTTTTGGTTCCTTTAGACCCTTCTGCTCTAGCTGGGTGCTGATTCCATCCCTGTAGCCTGGCCTACATGCAGGCCTGGAAGACCTTAATTGGTCTGTCTGTGTAGGAGGGAGCCCCGGTCCCCACCGCCCAGTGCTCTGGGGGCTATTCACTTTAATGGTCATATAGTCACATGGGTTTTTATCATGCAACCTCAGCACTTCACTCTCAGTCCTGGGAAAAAGCACATGGTCTGGACAACAAGGCCTTACACCTGAGGGCTGTGGTGAAGCCGGAATTGCAGAGGGAGAAGTAAGGACACCTGAGACCTGGTGCTGGGTTTGACTATGTCCCCTCCAGAATTCGTGTCTGAAACTTACTGGCCAATGTGATAGTATTAATGTAAGTGGGAAGCTGGGCGCAGTAGCTCAAGCCTGTGATCTCAGCACTTTGGGAGGCTGAGGTGAGTGGATTGCTTGAGCCCAGGATTTTCAGACCAGCCTGGGCAATGTAGGGAGAACTTTTCTCTACAAAAAAAGAAATATTAGCCAGGTGTGGTGATGCGTGCTAGTCAGGAGGCTGAGATGGGAGGATCACTCAAGCCTGGGAGGTGGAGGTTGCAGTGAGCCATGACCGTGCCACTGTACCACAGCCTGGTTGACAGAGCCAGAGAGCCAGATCCTGTCAAAAAAAAAAAAAAAAAAAAAAAAAAAGGGCCAGGCACAGTGGCTCATGCCTGTAATCCCAGCACTTTGGGAGGTCGAAGTGGGCAGATCACCTGACGTCAGGAGTTTGAGACCAGCCTGGCCAACATGGTGAAACCCCATCTCTACTAAAAATACAAAAATTAACTGGGCATGGTGGTGGGCACCTGTTACCTAGGTACTTGGAAGTCTGAGGCAGGGAGAACTGCTTGGCTTGAACCCAGGAGGTGGAGGTTGCAGTGAGCTGAGATGGTACGACTGTATTCCAGCCTGGGCAACAGAGCAAGACTGTGTCTCACAAAAAAAAAAAAAAAAAAAAAAAGAAGAGAGAAAGAAATAGGGCCTTTAGGAGGTATTTAAGCCTGAGGGTTCCTCCCTCTGAGTGAGATTAAAGCTTTTATAAAAGAGGCTTCCCAAAGCGTTCGCTTCACTTACAACACAGTGCCATCTTGGAAGCAGAGAGCCCTCACCAGACCCTGATTGCACTGGCACCTTGATCTTGGACTTCCCAGCCTCCAGAACGGTGAGAAATACATTTCTGTTATTTATAAATCACCCAGTCTCGTGGATCACCTGAGGTCAGGAGTTCAAGACCAGCCTGACCAACATGGAGAAACCCCATCTCTACTAAACCTAGAAAATTAGCCAGGCGCAGTGGCTCACACCTGTAATCCCAGCACTTTGGGAAGCCAAGGTGGGTGGATTACCTGAGGTCAGGAGTTCGAGACCAGCCTGACAAACATGGAGAAACCTCATCTCTACTAAAAATACAAAATTAGCCGGGTGTGGTGGCACATGCCTGTAATCCCAGCTAGTCAGGAGGCTGAGGCAGGAGAATCGCTTGAACCTGGGAGGCAGAGGTTGCAGTGAGCCAAGATCGTGCCATCACACTCCAATCTGGGCAGCAAGAGCAAAACCCCATCTCAAAAATAAATAAATAAATAAATAAATAAAAAATAGAAAATAAATCACCCAGTCTCAGGTATTTTGTTACTGTGGCACAAATGGACTGAGATACCTGGCATCTACCCTTGGAGGCTACCAGTAGGCCAAGGGCCAGCCAGGTGCCTCTGTGCAGGAGCCACGCTGCTCCCTGTTTCTCTTCCAGAGAGCACTGTATGGGGCTGACCCACCTCTGCAGCCAGGACAGACATGGCCTAGGTCCTGGTCCCTGTGGAGGAGTCTAGCTGTGGTTTTAAGGCAAAACTGGCCATGCGTGGTGGATCATGCCTGTAATCCCAGTACTTTGGGTGGCTCAGGCGGGCAGATCACCTGAGGTCAAGAGTTCGAGACCAGCCTGGCCACCATGGCAAAACCCTGTCTCTACTAAAATTACAAAAAAAAAAAAAAAAAAAATTAGCTGAGTGTGGTGGTGGGCGCCTGTAATCCCAGCTACTCGAGAGGGAGGCTGAGGCAGGAGAATCGCTTGAACCCGGGGGGCAGAGGTTGCAGTGAGCCCAGACCACACCATTGCACTCTGGCCTGGGCAACAAGAGCAGAACTCTGTCTCAAAAAAAAAAAAAAAAAAAAAAAGATAAAACCAAGTTCTGTCTTGTCTGTTTTCTTATGCAAACCTCTCTCACAGCCACTGCCCTCTCTGCATTTCTTGGGTCCTAGCACCCAATTTGGAGACTGCTCTGAGACATGCCCCTTGGTTCCTTTAAGCCCAGAGCTGTGTGCCTCAACTAGATGGGGCCACGGTGATGGTGGGGTGAGCAGGAAGGAAGATGGAAAAACAGACAAGTTAAATTATGTCAAACAACTCATTTATTTTCTCTTGTTTTGCTTTCTTTCCAGTGGCTCACTTGAGGGGTTTTCTTTTTCAGTTTTCCATCTGCTTCTTTGGGGTCCCATGGAGTCAGGCTTCAGGAGAAGACCCCAGCCCCTGCTGCTCTGTTGGGCTCCTCCTGGCTCCTGTGTGCTCAAGGTGCTGGGGTCTCTCCCCAGCCTCCCGTCACACCTCTGCTGGGTTCACTCTCTCTGAGGTGGCAGAGTGAACAGGGCCGACCACTGAAAGGGGAGTAATCCCAGAAAAATGAAGGGAAGAATGCAGGTCTTTAGGAAGCCCCATAGAAGGATGGGCGCCCCCCTCAACCGTGAGGAGCCCTCCCTGTCCCATGGAGGGATGCCCCCCCGCCCCCCGTGAGGAGCCCTCTCCATGGAAACAGGGTTGAGGGCCTGACCTCCCCCTTGGAGCCCCAGAAAACAAAGTGGGGAGGGTAGGGGGAAACTGAGTTGGCGGTGGCGGCACACGGAGGACCAAATCCTCTCAAGCTGGCGTCTGGGCGGGGTATGAGGAGCAGACCAGCCACGCAGCCACGGCGGCCGGAGTCACTCGAGGTCAGAAATGCCCAAGCAGGAAATGAGATGCAACTTGTAACAGACATCAAAGGAAATGGAAAAACATTCTTCTAATATGTCAGGGAGGCTAGAGGAAGGCGGGGGGCGCTGGCCCTTTATTAGGAGACTGGGGAGGGGGCGATAAGAGATGGCACTGGAAGGCTAGAAATAATTAAAATCAAAGCACCAGACACCTGGGGGTGGGAGTGAGTGTCCTCCCTGCAGCCGGGAGACCTAAGGAGCATGCTCAGAGCCTTCCAGGAGTGCCTGGAGCAGCAGTGGCGGGCAAAGGCCTGGCCTCGGGCCCGCCTCTGTCTCAGCCAGCTCCTCCAGGCCCAGGGATGTGGTCCCCATGGGGTGCCTGCTGCAGGCAGCCAGCACAGGGCTGGTGTTGGCAGAGCCCTGGGAACTGAACACAAGCCTTTTCCTGGAAGAGAGTCCCAGTGGGATCGGGGTGCCAGCACGTGCTGGTCCCGAGGGCACAGCGTGGCCAAATGGTCTTGGGACCGAGTCCTGCTCCTTCCACACAGAGAGGCAGTGCCTAACCAAAGGTGCAGAGGGAAGAGGGCAGCCTCAGGGTCCTTGTCTGTAGCCAGGGGCCATTGCCTCCTTTTCTCTACACAGGTCTGGGCCCGATCTCTGGTGCTCACCTGAGGCTGGCCGTTTAAAGTAGGACACTTCTCCTTGCCTCTTGCCTCTTGGGAAGCCTTTGATGGGCTGCACCCTGACGCGACCCCTTTCCAGGAGTCCAGGCGCACCCCTGGTGGTGGCATGGGGAGTTGGTGCTCGGCAGTGGGTCCTGACCACTTCCTGCCCATCACAGCCACGGCTTCTCCCCTCTGAGGAGGGATTGCTTTCTCAGAAGGGCGAGCTGGTGCTGGGCATGCACGCAAGTGTCCAGAAAGCGGGAATCCAGGGCCCTGAGCCTGCGTCCCTGCCGACTCAGCCCCGGCTCTGAAAGGGAAGCAGATGGGAGTGGAGGGGACCCCGTGCCCGGGGCCTGGGACCAGGCCGGCTGGGTGTGGCTTCACCAGGATGCGCCGGGTTTCAGCCTCTGTTCTGGGGGCTGCATAAGTCAACTCGGGGCGAGTCCCAAACTGTGCTGGGCTTCGGTTTATCACAGTGGGGCTACCAGACACCAGGTTACAGCCGTGGGGTCGGGGGGCAGAGGTGGGTTGATTTTCCNCAGGCCCCTGGGGGAGCAAGGGAGAGCNTGCTGCTCCCCAACACAGCGATTTTCCAGGATCCGACGCTACAAACAGCAGCAACATCCTTGGTGGAAAAGTTCAAGAATCTGGTCCAAAGGCAGCCTGAGTGAGCCAGCCGGGACCAGAACCAGGAGCCGCCCAGTGGAAGGGTAGGTGCTGGATGCCCGACAGGAGGGACCGTGGTGCTGGGGCCTTGGCCACCGGCCGGGAAGAAGCCTGGAGTGCAGACTCCAGAGGGGAGGCTGGAGGCAGTACTAGACGCGGCCAGAGTCCAGACCCGCCCAGGCGGGAGGGAGCGCGCGTCGGTGGCCCAGGCGGCCCTGCCCGACTGTCGGACCGAGCCTCCCCCTCCCGGCCGCGGCCGCGCTTCCCGCTAGCGGGTCCGCGGGGAGGGGCGGGAAGGCAGCTGGACGCGGCGGCGATTTATGGGCCTTTCAGGCGAGCAGGTGCCTCCTCGGGCCGCCCATTGTCTCGCCGGCCTCACAATGGGGCTGCTGCAGCCGCAGAGCCGGCCCCGCCGCTGCTCGCGGCCTGCACGGGCACGACGGCCCCGGGACGGCGGGAGAGCCTGCGGTCGGCGCATCTGTCCGCGCGTCCGTCGGTGCGTCCGTCGGTGCATCGGTCCTGCTGCCCTCCGCGCGCCTGTCCACGGGAACGGGCCTTGGGCGCCCAGCGTCCATCCCTGCGCGCAGCACGGCTCCGCTGGCCCTCGGGGTCCCCGCGCCCCGACGGTGCGCCCGCGCCCGCTGCGCTCGCTCGTCCTGCGCCCGCTCGTCCTGCGCCGTCGGGCACCCGGCTCCGCCCGGCTGGCACGGCCCGCGCCGCTGCGTCCCGGTCGCACACACAGGGGCCCATTCTTCCTGGCTCCGCGCAACCATATGGCAAATCCGCGTCGACACAGCAGCCCCCGCTCATTCAGGCGCAGAATGTCCCGCAACAGGGAACAATCACGACTCTGTTCGCGTCTATTATGGATGCGAACGGGGCGAGAAAAAAAATCATTTAACTCCAAGAGATAGCCAGCTAATTAGCAACCATATGTGAGCCCGGATTCAAAGCGATGCCGAGGAGTTCATTCTGCGTCGGGCGACTTTATTAGGTATAGAAGACAGATGTCCCGACAGCCCACGCATCACAGAAAATCGTGTCGGGGAGTTCTTGAAATGTCCGGGAGAGCTCTTTAAATATTAAAGACCCAGCCCAGCTGATGGACTGGGCCGGGGTCCTCTGGGATCCCCAGGCTGCAAGAAGAGGACTTAGCAACAGCGACTCTGGCAGACGCTGGCCTGGCTGGCCCAGGGAGGGGGTCCCTCCTCCTCCCTCCAGGGCCCCCTCTGGCTGCCCCTCCGGTCTCAGACTCTTTCACTCAGGTGCTCTGGGGCCCCAAGGAGGAACAAAGGGGCTTCCTGCAGGCACGGTTGGCCCAGTTATGCTTCAGGGTGCCTCCGAGGGTCACGGTGTGGCTCTGTGGGGGCGTCCCAGTCCAGGAGAGGAAGGCTGCCTGGGGAGTGTCTGGCTTCCCCTGCCCCCAGCCCAGCTGAGCTGGACAGACAGTAGGTCTTCCTTCCGAGTTTGCAGAATGAGTGAGTGAGTGAATGAATGAATGAATGGATGAGCCAGTGTGGCAGCCAACCCAACTATGAAAATCCCTCGGGGGGTGGGCGGGAGTGGGGACAATAGTGGAAGGAAAACACTCCCGATTTCTTTACCAAGAAAACAGCCTCTGGCCGTGAGCCTCCGATTCTTTGAGGAAGGAAAAGGAGAAAGCTTGTTAGAGAGAGAGAAAAAAATCTTTCTCTGTTTTCCATGCAATGCAATTATGTTCCAGCTTTTCCTCCTTGTTATTCTTTTAAGCCAAATGTCTGAATAAAAGGATTATTCCCTGCGCCCCCCCAGGACTGACCGTACCGCTGTCAGCAGGCGGGGCGCTGCTGGCGAGATTAACTGCAGCCTGTGGCTTCCGCATTGCTTCTATGAAAATAAGTGAGGTCAGCTGCCATTCAATTGTCGCAGCATATATATTTGAAAATTTAAATATTTGAATCAAAGGAAAAAGGGGGATTTGCATTTCTGCCCAACGCGAGGAGCGCGTTCCGAATGCCGCACAATGGAAACGTTTCAATTGAAATGAATTGTCTCCTCGCAGGAGGATTCTGTAGAAAGGCAGCCAGTGCTTTCTCTTTTGTTTTCTTTTGCTTTTGTTTTGTGTTGTGTGTTTTTCTTTCCTCTTACCCGCTTCAATCCAGGAGGGTGTTTTCTGAAAGTTGGTGACTGACTTTGGTTTCGAGGACATAAAGAAACATGGAAAAACTCCCCAGAAACACTCACATCAGAGGCCTCTCTGGCACAAAAGCAAAATTGAATTGAACATGTGCGGGTGAAAAAATAGATACAGGGGGTGGGGGGACTCCCAATGCCACTTAGAATGGGCTAATCAGCTGACTCCAGCTGGTCTGGACGCGGCTGTTAATGAAGGCCCCGGTGAGTGGGAGGGAGGCCCAGCGCCTCCGGCAGCCCCTGGTTCTTCAGGCAGGCCCTGATTGTCCAGGTCACCAAAGCCGTCAGCCACTCAGAACTAAATGCCACTGTCCCCAATTAGCATTAGGGGTATACAGACGTCAACTCTGCACATGGCTTTTTTTTTGTCTCTGCCTTGGAAAATGGTATACTGGGGACTCTCTACTTGCACAATGTGCCCCTAGGTGTTGGGATGATGCATCTGAGGGAAACTAGCCAGGAAGAGCCAGCTTCATGCGCTCAGTCAGAGAAGGTCTCTGAGCCAGGGGTACGTGGGGGTTTCCACTGGTCTGGAGGGCTGGGGTGTGGTCTCTCTGTCTGCCCTGGCTGTGCGGGCCTGGACAGATGTAATCCCTCTGTGGATGCTGGGTGTATTCCTGCCTTGGAGCTGCCATCACAAAGCATCACAGACAGGGCTGCTGAGACAGCAGATGTTTATCATCTACCAGTCCTGGAGGCTGGAGTCCACGATCAAGGAGTCGGCAGGGCTGGTTCCTCCTGAGGCCTCTCTCCTTGGCTTGCAGACGTCACCTTCTCCCTGTGTCCTGGGAGGGTCATGCCTCTGAGTGTGCCTGTGTCCTCCTCTCCTTATAAAGACCCCAGTCCTGTTGGATTAGGCCCACACCAATGGCCTCATTTTAACTGTTTTCTGTAAAACCCTGTATCCACATACAGTCATGTGCTGAGGTGCTGGGGGTGAGGGCTTCGACATATGATTTTTGGGGGATACGATTCCTCCCATAACACTGGGCTTCCAGATTGGGCGTCCTGCCCTGTGGCCCGGGATGCCTGCTGGTGAGTGGCAATGTCCAGACCTCTGGGGACCTGGTTCAGCATGAGAGCCAGGTTGAGCTGTGGCACCTGCTCCTGAGCTGGGGGTAGGTGTGGTGACTGAGGCTGATGACAAATGCAGGCTCCAGGGCCTCCTGCATTTCAGAGAGATCTCAAGTGGCATTTGGGGACCCTGGTATTCTCCTCAAAGGATAAGCGTCTAGACACGGATGCTGTCTCACCCCCTCCCGCCCCCCTCACTGAGAAACGAGGCTCCTCTGGAAGCCGGCACCATGCCAGGCTGTGGGGAGAAGGCAGGGGCACCTCCAGGGGCTGGTTCCCTGCCAGGGGCTCTCAGTGCGGTGCTGCCAGCCCCACACCCGTGGTGTCTTCTGCTTATTTTGCTCTCTTGCTTCGGCCTTGGGCTTTCCTAGCCTTTTCTTCTCTGTTCTCTGGTTCATACTTTTTCTTCTCTTTCCCAAATATGCCCCTGCCCCCGCCCCCCAAGAAATTCCTAAATCTGAATAAAAGCCCAACAGGGCCCAACAGCGAGACCCACCCCCCAGCTCTGCAGGATGACCTGGGCCCAGCCCTGACGTCTGCTCTCGCACCCGCTGCTCTGTTGCTGTGCAACCTAGGCAGGTTAGTTGACCTCTCTGAGCCTTGGCCAGCCTGCCCAGTGGCAGACACAATGCTGAAGTGTCTCTTGGGCAGAGTGAGAAGGAGCTAATGAAAATGGCTGAGAAAACAGTCTAGGCATTTAAAAAATGTCACGTAATTGCAAAATAATAACGATAACAACAATATACTTTGGAATTTTGCTGGAACTGAGAGCAGGCCCGAGTGGAATTTGGCACTGAGTGGGTCTGGCCTGGCTTCCATCCAAGGGGGTTTAGTTACTGAGGTGCCCCCAGGACTCCATTCTGAGGCAGCCCCTCTCGTAAGATGGTCCTGACAGTGGACTCTGGCATGGGCTGTGGCTGGGGTCCCTCATCGGCTGGGGCCAGTTCCAGGCATTATTGCTACAGCACCCAGGTCACAGGGCTGGCAAGCCAGTGGGGCTTTTTATTTCTTTTGATTTCCAAATTGAAAATAGCCATATATTTCCCTTGGTTGTAGAAATAGCAGCATATGCTCATTGTAAAAAAAAAAAATGCAAACAATATGGGAATGTATAAAAAAGACAGTAAAAATTCCCCCAGATAGATGCTGCTATCCTGAGATAAGCGCAGATGGCACTTTGGGGCTCTATATCATTTTACATCTATGGGACTCACATTTACTTTTTAAGTCCAAAGCACATATTTTATTTTAATTAAAAAATATTTTTTGAGATAGGATCTTATTCTGTCACCCAGGTTGGAGTGCAGTGGCACGATCATGGCTCACTGCAGCTTCCAACGCCTGGGCTCAAGCCCTCCACCCACCTCAGCCTCCCGAGTGGCTGAGACCATAGGTGTGTGCCACCATGCCCAGCTAATCTTTAATTTTTTTTTTTTTTTGTAGAGACAGGGTCTCCCTATGTTGTCCAGGCTGGTCTCCAATTCTTGGGCTCAAGTGATCCTCCTGCCTCGGCCTCTCAAAGTGCTGGGATTATAGGCATCTGGCATAAAGGTATATTTTTAATAGAGACAGGGTCTTGCTATGTTGTCCAATCTGGACTGGAACTCCTGGGCTCAAGAGATTCTCTCACCTCTGCCTCTGGAGTAGCTGGGACTACAGGTGTGCACCATTGTGCCCAGCTCAAAGTACGTATTTTAAAGTATTAGAATGTCTATCTATATGTATACACACACACAAACATATACTGTTTTAATTGAAAGTATTTAACCATAACAAACTGTTCAAGAGACCCGTAATCTGAGTGTGATAAACAAAGTAACAGTTTGGCAGAGAGTTGAGTACAAGCAGCTGGTGACAGTGCTAGGGCGGGAGAGGGCGGCTGGCGTCTTTTAAATGTGTTAGGGAAAGGCCCCAGGTTACAGGATTGGGAATGCGCTGTTGTTGAGAAGTGGCCGAGGGAGTACGAGGACAGTTCAAATGCTCTGGGTCTACCCTCGAGTGTGGGGTGAACATGGCGATTGCAGCAGTGGGTCCACACGGCACCTCAGGGCCCAGGGAGGGTTTGGAGGCGGAGGGCAGGTGGGCTGCACTGTCTTCCCCAGAGGAAGATGGAGGCCTCTGGTTAATGAAGCAACCACAAGGGGTTAGGACCAAGAGATGTTTGTCTCAAATGGGTGTAACCATCCCATTTGAACTGTTTCCTGGAAAGAAATGAAAGGGGGATTCTGACGGGGCACCTGTTATTTTATTGATAGGAAATGGTTTCCATCCCGTGACCATGGAAATTTCACACGGTGCGTCCTGGCCGTGCATATTTTATGAGCCAGCTTCCCCCAGCCCACGGCATGTCACTGTGCTGGCACCCATGAGACAGTGCCCTGCAGGATGGGTGACAAGGGTGGCTGAGCCTTCCGGCTTCGGCCTCGGTGTTTACTGGAACCCCCCATTAGGTCCCCCAGGTGGGCCTTGAGTACCAGCAGGGGTGTGGGCCAGGCCCTGAGCTTCACCCTGAGGGGAAGGTGGATGGGACTCCTTTCAAGAGCCAGGTGAGGGAGGTGTGGCACAGGGCAAAGGTTGAGGCTCCTGGGTGTCCAGGGAAGAGCAGCCCCTGAGGGGCCTGAGGACACTCAGAGGAGGAATGGGTGGAGGAGAGCTGGCAGCCAGGGTGCCCGTGCAAGGGCGCAGCAGGGCAGGCTCAGTGATGTGGAGCTGGAGGGTGGGCATTGAGGCGGAGGTGGGGGGTGGGGGGTGCGGCTGTGAAGGTCACGCCAGGGCCAGGGTGCCAGAGTCAGACTGGTGGCAGTTGGGCCAGATTCACTCTGTCAGCTGACTTCAGTCCCAGCTGAGCCCAAGGCTGAGGGATCCGCCTGCACTTTCAGTCCTCTGGCTGAGCAAATTACGAAAGTATCACAGAATGTTTCAGGAACAGATGATTTTCTTTCTCTTTCTTTCTTTCTTTCTTTCTCCCTATTCTATCTGGCTTTCATGTTCTCTTTCTCACGTCCGCTTACTGTGCTCTTTCTTTAGCTCTTCTGGTACAAACTGGCTCTCCCTATCTTCTTCTTCATTGTTTCCTTTCTTCCACCCTCGGATCTCCTCCTCCTGCTCCTCATCCTTCTTCTCTCTTTCTTTCTCTTTCTCTTTTTTTTCTTTCTCTTTTGAGACAGGGTCTTACTCTGTCACCTGGGCTGGAGTATAGTGGCACAGTCATGGCTCTATGTAGCCTCCACCTCCCAGGCTCAAGTGATCCTTCCTGGGACTACAGGCGCGCCGCTACGCCTGGCTAAAAAAATCAGAAGATTTTTTGTAGAGATGCGACCTCGCCAGGTTGTGCAGGCTGGACTGGAACTCCTGCGCTCAAGCAGTCCTCCCGCCTCGGCCTCCCAGAGTGTTGGGATTACGGGCGTGAGCCACCGCGCCCGGCACCCTTTTCTTTTTAAAGGTCTGTGGCTGAGTTTTGTATTGGGAGTATTCTTACTTACCCAGAACGTGGCTCTGTCTCTGTTTCATCGCTGGTGGTGGAGCAAGTGAATCACCCACCAATGTATAGGTTTTCTAAGTTTGTGGTTGAAATTTTGCTAGTAAAGTGGACACATCACAAAGAAACTGCCTCCCTCCCTCACTCTGCCCAGCCTGCCCCAGCCCTAGGCTTCGAGGCAGGCCTGGGCTCCCGGAGGATGCTCCCTGGCGCTGTGGGGCCAGAGGCCTGGGCCAGGCTCCTGCTGGGGCTGGAGATGGGCGGGGTGGCGGAGGCCGGCCCTGGCCTGCCTCATTTCTGCGCTCCGACCAGCCTGGGAATCTGTTTCTGTCATGAAAGGCGAGGGTGACCTGGCGGGCTTCTGCTCCTGGTTGGTCAGAAAGTCCGGGGATCCTTGGCTCTGGTTAAAGGGGCCCCCACGTCTGCCGTCTTGCCCGGCCGCCTCCAAGTGCCGCCGGCCCAGGGCTGAGGAAGGCGGGCCGCGGGGAGAAGGCGCGAGGGCCGGGCCGGGCAGGGGGTCCCGGAGCCAACCCCACCGCCCGGGCCGCCCCGGGCCCGCGCCCGCCGCCCCCACCGCGCCGCGCGTCTGTTTGGAGAAGAAAGCGGGCCAATTTGTTTTCATTCAGAATCACTTAAGATCCCATTTTGGAGAAATGAAAAGAGAGAAGCGCGCTTCCCGGGCCCGGGCCGCTGGGTGCCCGCCCGTGCCCGGCGGCGCGTCGAGTGGAGGGACAGCGGCCCCCTCCCTGCCCTCGGCCCCAGCACGCCCGGCCGCGGCTCCCGGAGGTCCGAGGAAGGCGGCGAGGCCGCGCTCATCTGCATGAAGCGCACACTCGCGGCCCATCTGCAAAGGCGCAATTAAACGCGGGGGTGGGGGGGCAGGGGCTCCCGAAATTAGCATTTCCGCGGCCATCTGGCGCGAGGAGCGGGCGCGGCCGGACAAAGGGCGCCGGGCGAGGGGAGAGGCGAGTGTGCCGCGGCATTGACCTGCAAATGAGGCTTTGTGCGCGCATTAAAGCTCGCCGGACCCCCGACCCCGGCCCCCGCCCCGCCCGCCAGGCCCGCGGCCCCTAGCGGCCCAGGCTCGGACTGGGCACCCCGAAGGTCTGGGGGTCGGGCCGGGCAGTGCCGCGACTGGGCAGGGGGCCGGGCCGGGCCGGGCCTGGCCGGGCCAGGACAGGCTGTGGAGCGTCGGAGCCCCCCACCCAGGCTGGGTTCCTCTGCAGCCTCCAGGAGAGCCCCTGGGACCCTGGCCCCTTGAACCCTACCCCTGCCCCCATCCGGTCCTCGCCCCTCTGGGCCGGTATTCCCCAGCCTACTCCTGGAAAGGATTTCTCAGGACGCAGGGGTCCTGGCTAGAATCCCTCGGGGTGGGTAAGTGGAGGGGGCGTGGACAGGTGGGGGCTGCGTGGTGGGGGCAATTTTGTATTGGGAGCTACTAAAAACTGGCCACCTGGACAGGTTTTTGTTTTTGCCATGGTCATTAATGCCCTCAATGTTTGAAAAAGGCCATTTCACAGTGTTTTATGGGCCTTAAAAATCAGGGACTCTTTGAAAATGGTTGTGGGGCAGCTTAGTGACAGCCAGATGATTAGCAAGAGCTCAGTATCAGGTCTTTAGGGGACCAAGTGTGTGGGGTGGTGGTACAGGAAATCTGGGACTCCCCAGCTGGTACAACTGAGGCTGCAGCCAGGGCCAATGGGCCGGGGAGCAGGAGGCCGGGACTGGGAGCCCTGGGGCCAGCTGGGCTCTGCCAGATACCTGGGTCACTTGGAGGCCCCTGGAAGGCCCCCTGGACTTTCTGCCACATTGCTCATGCTCTGGGTGCCTACAAACTGCCCCCCATGCCGTTGGGCTGCTCATTAGGGGTTGTGGCCCAAATTAAACTGCAGTAGCCACCCCCAGAACCTCCAAAGGCCTGGGGGGCAATGAGGGGCACAGAGGACAGTGTGTGGCTATCTCTGGGTCTCTGTTCTCCCAGGTGGACCAGTGGGGGTTGTGGCGATGCTGTCCAGGGTGAGGTCCAGCTACGGTTGCCGTCCTGTCTGTCAGCACCAGCACCCAGCACATCTGTAGGGCCTGGGCCCCGGACCCAGCATGAGGGTTATGAGGAGGTTTCCTGAAGGAGAAAAGCCAGAGTGGAGTCTGGAATGGAGCAGGGGGGACCATGGCCTGCCCTCAGTCTGCTAGGTGGGGCTGGAACCTGGGGTTTTGCTTGGGTGTGAAGAAGGAAGAGGCTGGGGATGCAGCTAGGTGCTGGTTCCTCATAGACCGAGTCATGATTTATGGGGACCCTCAATTATATCCCCTTAGCAGGGGCCACAAAGTCTCAAATCTGCCCAGAAATCCACACCTCGGAGCTCAGGTGAGGTCTTCTTCAGGTTCTCCCTCTGCAGTGCAGATACTGTCAGAAAGAGCAAGCTACAAATGGAGAAGTCAACAACACTCTAGTGAGAATTACCCTGCCAATTAATTTTCTCAGAAATCGGGGACTCAGGGACCGGTGTGTAAACACGAGTCCCTTAATGGGGGGTTCAGACAGGGTGGGTGTGGGCACACAGGGGTCCGTGCTAAAGCCTGGCACTGGATCCCAGGTGTGGGGACTCCAGCTCCTCCCAAGGGGCAGGGGATTTCCCGTTCTGTGATGTGGCTGAATGACTCACTGCCTTATTTGTGGGCCAACATGTGTGGTGGGGCAAAGGTCTCTGGCNTGGTAGCCGTGTGAGCTGGAGGGGGGGCATTTCTCCATCCAGGCCTTACAGTTTCCCTTAGGTAAATGGGGCAGAGTAACCCCTTCCTTCCCTTACCACAAGGGTTCTGGGAGGTGTGGAGCCTGGGGTGTGGTGGTGCTTGGCACTCCGTGTTCTTTGGAAGCTGGAATGAGGTTCCTCAGGCCAGTTATGGGTGTGAGATGTCTGGAAAAACGAAGTAGACTGGACGGTGGCCTCATCTATCTGTGCTGGGCTGGGCACCAGCACCTCGCTCTCCCAACTTCTTGGGGTGCGCCCATAGAGGAGATGGAAGCACAGAGGATTTCAGAAACTCCCCACCTTCAGTGTTGCCTTCAAAAGTATACTGCTGTGGCATGTGGGCAAGGAGGGTTCTGGGGATGGGTGGGCTGTGGGGGGAGTAGGCGCATGGGTGGGGTGGGCCCAGGGGAGCAGGCATGAACCCAGGGAGAGGGTGCATAGATGGGGTGGAACCCTATGGCTTCTGAGGGACTGCAGTGCGGCTGGTCTGTGTGGACAGGCGCTGGAGGGGGCACTGTGCAGAGAGCAGGATGTGGGTGAGCCCCTCTTTCCCCTCTGTCCTTCCCATCCTCCAGGACAGGGAAGCAGCCCTCAGCAGACAGTGTGAACCCCATGCCCAGTGTGAGCATGAGCACAGCTCCCTGCGCTTTGTCTTCAGGAGGTCTCAGATCCAGCCTGCATTGGCTTCCAGCAGACCCCTATTTCCTAATCCTCAAGGGTTGTTCTTGTCAGGCATCCCATTTGCAATGCCCTCGAGGGCCGCTGCCCGTCTGGCAGGGAGATCAGCTTCAAGGACACAGACAGTGTCTGCGGTGGGTGCTGAGTGCCGTAGGGGAGACCCTGGGCTGCTTTTGGAAGAGGAGCATCATGGAAGAGGAGCCCTTTCGCTCTGGGCTTTGGAGGATGAGTAGGAGTTTGCTAAACCCAGATGGGGAGGAGGGCCAGTTTGGCAGGTGGCGTTTGGGAGGACCTGGGGCAGCTGCCACAGCATGCGCCGGGCCTGAAGATGCCTCCTGCGCCTGGGTTTCCAGCTCTTGCTTCCTGAGCCGAGTTGGAGCTGATATCCATGCCTCCCAGCCACGGGATGCTCTTTTCAGTGTGACCAACCAGGCAGAAGAGCTGAGTGACAGGCAACTCGTGGCCTGGTCTGTGGAAGGCAGGGCTGCCTCTGAGCCTGCGGGTTGGGGCCAGAGTCCGGGCCTGGGCCTGCCACTCAGGAGGGAGCCCGGGGCAGCCTGGAGGAAGCACTGGGCCCTGGGGCCCGGCTGCAGAATCGGGGTGTACCCTGCACTGCGGAGGGCCTGGCTGTCCCTGGGGCTGATGACTGGGTGTGGGTGGGGACGGGCCCCAGTGGCCTGAGAACACTCGCACTTCCCTGCCCCCTCTGTCCCTCTCTTTACACCTGGCCCATAAGCGGCCAGTCTGGCTGGAGACCCTAAGCTGGAGAACCACTGGAAAAGAAATGGTTACTTTCTGCCTGGAGAGGGGGTATTAAGCCTCACCTGGGGCTGAGGCCTGGTCTCTTTAGGGCCTCCATGGAGCCCACGTGGCTCCCAGGTGCAGCCATTCTCCTCCACGAGGTGCTTGGGGGATTTGGCTGAAGCCAGGGCCAAAAAGCCAAAGCCTCTTCCTCCATAGCCTTTGCCCAAATGCAGAGGCCAGGGCTGGGGATAGGGGGAGGCGATGAGGGACCAGCTATGGCTGGTGGTCTCAGGTCCTGCAGGATGGTAAGGAGGGGAGGGTGGGCGGGTCTCCTGTCTTCGATGCAACTCACGCAAGGGCTGTCCTGGTGTCTTCTTGTCAGCTTGCTGCCGAGGCTGCCACCTCAGCTGCCTGTCTGTGAAATGGGTCCATGTGTCCCCATGCCTTGGCCCGTCTCCTCTTCCCTACAACAGGCTGCTGTGCAGCCTGGGGCCCTTTCCAGGCCACCTTCTCCATCTGCTCACTGAGGAGGGACCCCTGAGTCAGCGAGGCTCCAGCTTGGCTGCACCCAGCTGAAAGGTGAGTTGGTTCCCAGCCTCAGGCTCCTCATACGTAAGATGGGGCAGCAATGCTTGGCAAGTTCAAAGGAGATCCCTGTTAATGCTTGGCTTGGAGACTCCCTTGAGCCCACTCTGGGCTGCAGGAGGCCCTGGTTGTGGGGCAGGGTCTCTGCCACCTTCACCAGCCATCCTCACACTTGTGGGTGCCCCAGGGTGGGGCACGTCCCAGCCCTCTCTCTGGTCAGCAGAGGCTAAGTGAGGCCTGGGCTCAGGCACCAGAGGGCCCAGGTAGGGGAGGCGGCCGCCAGGTCAGGCCAGGCCGGCTCCAGCGGAGGCTGAATGGGCACTCTGTCCTGCCACCCTCGGCTGTCATCTGCCGCTGGGATTTGGTTTCCTGGACTGGTGCGGCTGCAGGTGGATTCTGCAAGGCCGGGTGACCTCGCAGCTTGGAGCCCCCGTGTCTCCTGAGCCAGGCGGTGGCCGGGGGGTGGGAGACAATGAAGCCTTTTCCTGGGGAGCAGGGGCCAGTCCGCGTAGGGGAAAGCAGTCTGCCTGTGCCCTGAGGCCTCTTGGGCTCGCTGGCGGCAAGAGGGGCCGCTCGGGACAGCGGTGCCAGGCCTTGGCAGGGCTCTCTGCAGGCTGGGCCAGCCAGGCGCCGGGTAACTGAAGCCACCTGGACACACGCGGGGGCTGTGGAGCGTTTTCGGGACACAGTTCTGCCTGCTTCACCTCAAGGATGGTGGCAGGGGGGCCATGGGGGAGGGAGGGAGGAGTGTGTTCGTGGCACCAGGGGCCTGGGGACTGACCCCCACTGGCCTCTCTGCTCCCTAGCGCAGCCTGGCTTCTGCTGAGATGAGGGCTGGGGCCGGCCCTCTCTGCTGGCTCCTCCGGAGGCACAGGTGCTCCTGGTAGTGCAGGGAGTGAAATTGTCTTGCCCCCCGCCCTTGTTCTTTGGGCCACGAGTTAAACTGAGCAGATTAGCAGAAGGAAAGAAATAATTTTCATTATGTACGTACGAGGGAAGGCCACAAAGCGTGACACCCAGAGAAGGGCAAGGTGATTTAAGCTTATATGTCCTCCCAACCACAGAGAGGAATAGGGGCTGGGGCTTCTGGGGTGGGGGCTGCACCAGTCGTGGGAGGGCCAGGGAGGGAGCATGAGTGACGGTGGTCTCCAGATGCAGATGAAAAGTCCCCTGGGACCCACATTGCCTCTGGGCAGCCCTCAGCGGAGGAGGTGAGGGGCCTTCTGGGCCGATGCCCCTGGCGGCCGCCTCTCCTGCCTGCAGCTCCAGGTGGTCTACATCCCAAAGCAGCATAGTCTGGCGTTTCTCGAGCTCCTTCAGTGGTGGGGGTGAGGGGGCTTCCTGGTGGCACAGAGCTCCAAGTTTGAAGTCCAGCGGGTGCGGTTGGTCACTGGGTGCCCTTGGACGAGGGCTGAGCTTCCAGGGCCTCATCTCTGTCCCATCAGCTGGGGGCATGGTAGCATCAGGTAGTCGATGAGGGGCCCCGGCTGGCACTTGCACTGGAAGGCCTCTGTGGGGTGACTCTCCTCATCCCAGGGCCAGGGAAGGGGTGAGACCAGGGCTGGGGGCACACAAAGCCCTCTTCCTGGGAGTGTTCCCAGCTTTCACTGGTTCATTTGTTCCATCCACAGCCCCCAACCTGGGTATGCCCACCTGGCTGTCTTTGCCCCAGAACAGTGGTCGTAGCCAGTGGTGTCAGAGGAGTGGCCGGGCCTGGGAGCCCGAGAGGAGGCAGCTTCTGAGCCCGGACTGTTGCCCGTGCACCTGCTTGATGGGGCCGGGAACAGCTCTGGGAGAGTGATTTTGGCTCTTAAGGTGCATGTGGGGTGGCTGGGTGTGAGTTCCAATCTCACCTCAACCCAGAATGGGTGAATTTCCATTTGCATAGGGAGGCTGGACACAGTTAGGTCACAGCTGTCTGAGAAACTCTTTGCAGAAGGTCAGGAGAACAGGAAGGTCTCCACAGATGGGTTCCATAGCATCAGATGGGTGAGGACAGACAGCTGCAGAACAATTCGGATCACAGGCCGCTGCTGTGTGGTTTCAGAGCCCTTAGCACTTGCAGGTTAACTACCCAGGTGGGAGAGGTGTGTGGCTGTGGCGGGGGTGAATGGCCCTGCTTTGTCCAGCCTACGGCTGTGGGACATTTGGGAACACACAATAGGAAGGTTTTGTGGAGGTGAATGGCCCTGCTTTGTCCAGCCTACGGCTGTGGGACATTTGGGAACACACAATACGAAGGTTTTGTGTCTATACTTTGAAAAAATTCCCAAGGCGGCTGGGAGCGGTGGCTCATACCTGCAGTGCTTTGGAAGGCCGAGGTGGGAGGATCACTTGGGCCCAAGAGTTTGAGACCAGCCTGGGCGACACAGCAAGACTCTGTCTCTACAAAAAAATAAGCAAAATTAGCCAGGCGTGGTGGTGTACTGTAGTCCCCACTTCTTGGGAGGCTGAGGTGGGAGGACCACTTGAGCCTAGGAGATCAAGGCTGCAGTGAGCTGTGATCAGGCCACTGTACTCCAGCCTGGGTAACAGACTGAGACCCTGTCTCTAAAAAAAAAAAAAGTCCAGGGCAGATGATGTGGGGCATCTGGGGGGATTCTGAAGGAGCCCAACAGGACCATTGAGGACCGTGGGCTTGAGATGTCACCGTAGAACATTCTGGAAGCACCTATCACATGTGCTGCGTTGCCTGGCTCACAGCCCACCCTAACCATGTGAGGTAGGATGTGGTCTCAGCCTGTTTGATAGATGAGAAACCAAGGCAATGCACGGTCAAGCACCAGGCCCAAGTTCCCAGGAAATTCAGGCTCTGGAAGCTGTGAAAGAGCCTCCCCATCCTATGGCTCTTCTATGCCTCAATTTCCCCTTCTGTAAGTGGTGGTTCTCAGCAGCTGCGTCGATGGTTTGGAGATGCCGCTGAGGCCTCTTCCTAAAGCGGTGAGATGAGACATTTCCCTTGCAGACCCCCTCTGAGGTGGTGCCTGCTCCCTGAACTGGGCAGTGTGGGTTCACCCCAAGGATGAGGTGGAGGCCCAGAGAGGAGACAGGCTTGGCTGGGGTCAAAAACGGAGTTACAGGCGGAGCGAGAGCCCGCAGGCCCCCACGCCGCAGGGCCAGCCAGTCAAGTGGAAGACGCACGGGAAGTGTCTGCCCCTCTTTTCCTCTCCAGAGTCCTTTGACATGATCTCGTGGACCGAGAGGGGATTTGATTAAGACCCTTTGAAATTATTTAATGGCATTCACCACCATCCTGACAACCCCTCTTTAGAAGCCTTTCTCAAGCAGCCTCCTGCCCACCCCCAGGACGGGCCCTTTCCCTGGGCGATGCTACGGTCCAGCTCCCTGGGCCTCTGCTGGAGTCTCTGGGGTCGGCCCAGGCCAGGCCCATCAACACTCAGGGGCTGCACAGTTCCACCCTCAAGTGCCCTGGAGGGGCCCCACCCCGGGGTTGTGGCCTCTCCCAGCTGGAGCCTCCTCTTCCAGAGCCTGGCCAGTCCACCTCTAGCCCATTGCTCCCATTGTCCCTGGCAGAGATGCTTCCGGCCAGGCCTTCTTGGGGTGGCTGGGGGCACAGTTGGGGTGAGTGCTCCCTGAGTGCCCACCTGAAGGCTCCTCCCACAGATCCTCTGCCCCTCTGGGTGCTCGGGGGGCTTCTGACACCAGCGGCATCCTGGCCTTGCTATGGGGCCACTCTTCCCCATGGCACCTGGGCCACTTGTGACCTCCCTCGGCTGTTCTGGGAGAACTGGATGGCATTTGGGGCCCTTCCCTCTCTGGTCACCTGTGCTGACTCAGGCTCTGCCTGGCAGAAGTGTCCCGTGGGTGGATTTGCTGCGGAGACCTCTGTCTCAGGGGCTGTTTGTGTGTCAAAGCTCCAGGTTGCTGGACTGAAGAGGACGTCAGTACATGGTTCTCCCTGAGCACAGTGAGCTCTGTCATTGCTGTTTGGTCTTGCGTTGGCGCCGGCTTTTGCAATATCTTCTCTTCCACTGAGGATCCTGGGGTCAGTTCTGTGGAGCTGTGGTTGCAGTGAGCGACTGAAACTCAGAGAAGCCTGGCTCCTGCCCCAGGGCACCTGAGAGAGGGGCTGAGCCAGGCTGTGAATGAGGGGATCCCTGGCTTCTGGCTTCAGCTTTTCCTTCATTCCCACTGCCTCGTGCCACACACACAGTGGAGGCACTTCTTGTGTTGTAGGTATGTGTGTGTGTGTAGCGGTGTCGGGGTGTAGGTGTGTAGATGTGTGTGTGTGTGTGTGTAGGGTTGTAGGTGTGTAGATGTGTGTGTGTGTAGGGGTGTCGGTGTGTAGGGGTGTCGGTGTGTAGGGGTGTAGGTGTGTAGGTGTATGTGTAGGTGTGTGTAGGGGTGTAGGTGTGTAAGTATGTGTATTGTGTGTGCAGGTTTGTAGGGTAGGTGTGTGTGTAGGTATGTGTGAAGGTGTGTGTGTGTGCAGGTGTGTGTAGCTGTGTGTCAGCATTGGCCAGGGGAGGGATGTGGTTAAGAAACAACCAAAAGTCATTCAGTGGGGTTTGGTGAATCACATTTGCGGTCAGGCTGTAACAGAGTTTCTTGAGGATCTAACTGGGAAGTTTGAGATTTTCTGTGTGGCAGGTGCAACAGCAGCCTTCTTGGAGCCAGTCGGTGTGTTCTGAAGGCCCACCTGACCCTTGGCTGTATCAGGCAGGCACAGTGCTTTGTGGCTTCTTGGCCTGTGTGGGCCAGCAGAGGAGCTGTGCTCAGACCACCCTGGAATTTTGAACATCTCTTCCTCAGATCTGGCCTCTCTGGCCAAAGGTCTGGCAAGGCCAGCTCTTGCTTTCAGCCAGTCAGTTCATTCCTGCCCTCTGGCTTCCTGGCTGAGCTACCTTCTCTGCTGTGGAAGCCCCATTTCTTCTCTGAGGCTTTTCCAATGCAAAGTCACACAAACAGGCGCAGCACAGGCCCGGCCTTCCCCCAGCCTTGGTCTCCCTGTCTGTACCGGGTGGGGGGCTTCACGAGCTCTGAGGCCTTTTTGCTCTGGGGTCTCTCCCCTCAGCATGAGTCTTCTCTGTCCTCGGGCACCTGTTAACTCCTCTCCGTGGGTTTGCCGCTGCCACCGGCTTCCCAGGGCGCAGGCCCAGGAGGGAGATGAAGCTGTGAGCCTGGTTCCCAGAGCCTGCACCTCCTGCCCTGATGCTGCTCAGCTGCAATGCCACAGAAAGACCCCATGCGTCCTGCAGGCTGGAAAGGAGCATGTCACGGGGAATGTTGTGGAGGGGCCGGCAGTGGGGAGAGGAGAAGGTGGGGGGGGTTTCCNAGGGTCTATGGGTCATGCAGGTGGGGATCACTGTGCCCAAGAGACAGCCNTGGAATCCATGTGAACACCCCCACCCCTGCACCTTGGGCCAACTCCCGGGAAGTGGAAGGAGCTGTGTGTTTGAGGCCCCAGAAGGCACCAGGATGGATTCTGTCCACTGAGCCATCCATGGCCACCTCTGGGCCCGGCTTGTGTCTTCCTGGGCCTCGGGCTCGCTGCCTGTACGTGTGCGAAACCCAAGCCTGGGGATAGGTGGGCGGTGGGGCTGGGCTTGGCTCTGGGAATTAAGGGCGGCCTCGTCCCCTCTGGGAGCCATGGGTGAGGGTCTAGAAGGAAGAGTGGGGAGCGGGCCCAAGCATCTCCTGGAGTCCAGCAGGGCTGCCCTGGGCCAGGCTGTCCATCTCCTTTACGCTCTGCCTCACTCAGGTGCCTTGAGCTGTGGGGGCTGCAGGGGAGGGGAGTTGTAGGAGGCCTGGTACGGGGTGCTGAAGAGGAGGGCCAGGAGGTCATAGCAGGACCTACTGAGGGAGAAGGATCTTGAGGGCAGAGTGGATGCCCGCCTTCATATTACCCAGCCAGTGCTTGGGTGAGACAGGATGGGGCCTTGGCTTTTAAGGCCTTGGGNTGGGGTGGCAGCCCCCAGCCCTTCTTGCACTGCCCGACTGAGGGCCCTATAGGCTTCCTCACCAAGGCTCCACAGTGGAGTTGGGAAGGGCCGGGGTGGGACCTGTCAGCTTCCAGGGGGCCCTGGCCCCCGGCTGTCTGCACTCAGAGGCCAGTGGAAACTGAAGTTCTGTTTGGCTTTGGCTGCCCCAAGCATCTTCCAGGCCTGGCTGCCTGGGACCCTGGCTGACCTGGGTGGGGACAGGAAAGGTGAAGGGTGCTGGGACACAGGCCACAGGCCTGATCTCCCAACTAGCTGGCCCTCCAGGGCCACAAGAATAGGGCCAGAGGCAAGAGCGGGGTTGGTGCAGTTGGGGGCCGAGAATGGTGAGGCTGAGACACGCTTAAGATCCCCAAGGAGGCCGGGTGCGGTGGCTCATGCCTGTAATCCCAGCGCTTTGGGAGGCCGAGGCGGGCGGATCACGAGGTCAGGAGATCGAGGCCATCCTGGCTGACATGGTTAAACCCCATCTCTACTAAAAATACAAAAAAAAATTAGCCGGGCGTGGTGGTGGGCGCCTGTAGTCCCAGCTACTCGGGAGGCTGAGGCAGGAGAATGGCGGGAGGCGGAGCTTGCAGTGAGCTGAGATCGTGCCACTGCACTCCAGCCTGAGAGACAGAGTGAGACTCCGTCTCAAAAAAAAAAAAAAAAGATTCGCAAGGAACCCCTGGGTCCTAGAGCCCGGAGGGCTGTGCTGAGAGGAGGCTGGGGTGCTGGGGGGAGCAGGCTTTGGCACAGCTCAGATGGGCACTCCAAATTAGGGACTTGATATAGTTGAGAAAGGGCAGTCTTCATCCCTGCAGGTGACTCAGCAAATCCCCTGGAGATGGGGGTGCTGTGTGTGGTGGCCCCAGGAGCCCTGGCTCTTGTCTGCCTTCCTGCTCCTTCCCCCAGCTGTCTGGCTGCCCCAGATCAAAACACCTGGCCTGATCCCTCCTTCAGGGCGCAGGGTGTGGACCCCTCTCCTGTCCATTGGAGGGACGCCTGGTGATGCCCTGCTTGGGTCCTGGTACCTCTGCTGCACATGCAGCACTGGGCAGCCTCCTTCCAACTTTTCATTTTATTCCTTAATTTAACTGGCACTTCCTGAGCACCCAGCTGGGGCCAGGCTTGTACTAGGCACTGCCAGCCCCGGCTCCTTTTTGGGGCCTCAAAGGCCCAGCACAGCCCCTCTCCCAGTGGTGGGCCTGACTCCTGACCACCACGCTGGTGGGGGACTGCCTGCCAAGGATGGTGCTCAGAGGAGGTCCCTGAGTAGGGAGGGGGGCTGGACGTCAAGTACCAGGGTGAGGATGGGGGAAGTCTGGGCTCATGGCGGGGGGATGCCCCAGGGTGAGTGGCAGGGTTGCAGCCTGTGGGGCCTCACAGGCCCACTCAGCAGTGGGGAGTCATGGTTGGCTTGAGAGCAGGATGGGGAACTGCCAGCTTGGGTTTGGACAGCTCTCCCTGGCACCGAGGGGCAGGGAGCTTGGTGGGGTAAGGCTAGATGCAGGAGGGGCCTCAGAAAGGAGCTCCGAGGCAACAGGCAGGAGAGCAGCAAGGAGGCAGAGCCCAGTATCACCCACCCAGGTGGTTTGTTTGGCTTCCTTTATTAAGCACCTACTGTGTGCTCACATGTCTCATCTCCATCAAGCCCCTGCCCCGTACGCCCCTTCTAGGGGGCACTTTTACTGTTCCCCATTTCGCAGACAGGACTGGGGTGGGAGCTGAGGGGCTGCAGGTCGGCCCCGCCCTTGACTCCTCCTCCTCCTGGCTCCCTGGCCCGAAGATGGGAGAACCTCGGGCTTGGCCAGTGCCAGCCCTAGAGACGGGCTTCCCCATGGCCACGCCCAGCACCCACGAGGGGACATCTGGGGGCAGGCAACGGGGGAGGAGAGCCTGGCAGAGGAGGTGGGTGCCCCAGGAAGCAGGAGCAGCCCCTCCCCCAGTCACCCCCAGCAGATGCTCCTGGCACCCATTGGACCCCGAGGACCTCAATAAGGGAGCCCAATTTGGAGACAAAGGCCGGCTCTGGGGACAAACACTCATGGCTATCCTCAGCCAGAGCAGCCAGGCAGCCGCGGTGAGGCCACAAAGGGCCCGAAGAAAGGGGCTGCGGGAGGGGCCGTGAATGGGTCGGGGCTGCACATGCCACCGTTGCCCGGGCGACGGCCCTCTCGCAGAGAGGTCTGCCGGGCCATTGTCCGGGGCCCGCAGGACGTGCCACACACCAGATGGTCGTGTGCTGTCTAGGTCACTTATCGGGGGACAGAGTGAAGGAATGCGGCCGGCACGGCGGGCCGAGGCGCCATCTGTTCCCTCAGTCCACGGGCACCGGCGGGCATTGAGCACTCGGCCGGCCAGGCCCAGCCTCCGCCATGGCTTTAATTAGCTAATTCCATAATTGGGCTTTATTTCAGGTAAATTGCATTTCACACCCGAGAGGGCTGCAATGGCCCGTCCAGGAGAGGAGTCCTCGGGCACTTTGTGCGCAGTCCATAATATGGACAACAAGGCGGGCTGGGTGCCGGGCCGCGCCCGGCCCAGATGGGCGGCCCCACGGAGCTCCCTGTGGGCCAGGGTCCCGGGGTGGGCGGCCGGGGCTGGGGGGCCTGGGCGCTGTGGAGGGCCCTGCTTTCCGGCCGGCATCCCCGGGTTTCCACAAATATTTACCCAACAAGGAAACAACAGTTCCTGCCTTTCAGTAACTGCTGCTCCCGCTCCTCCCGGAGGGGTGCAGGCCAGGGAAGCCTGGGAAGCCCCGTGCTGCCCCTCCACCTCGTCCATCCCGGTCAGTGCTGGCCAGGCCAGATGCCAAGACCCATGGGTTGGGGGCACGGGCCCAGTGGGCTTGGCACCAGGTGGGACCCAGGGCCTTTCCCTCTAACAAGGGCTTCCACCCCTACTCCACACAGAAACCTGGGGCCCCTGTCCCTGCCACCTGCTGCTGGCCGCCTCCTGCCCCCAGTGGACTCAGGACAGCCCCATCCTTGATATCTCAGATGCCCCAAGCCCTCATATCCTGAGACTTCGGGATGGGCTCTGGAAAGAGGACAGAAGGCGGCTGCAGTCCTGAAGGACTGAGAAACGGTCCAATAGCTGAGGTGGGGGCACAGCAGATGCACCTGCCCCGGTTGAGTGTGTCTGTGCCGAGAGTGAGGCACTCTTTCCACCTTAGGAGAGGCGGGCCTCACAGAAAGCTGCAGGAACAGGGTCAGGGCGAGCAGGGTGGTGGCCCCTCTGTCCCACTCAGAGAACTGGACAGGCTAAGGGAGCATCGTGTTACCAATGGGGAAATAGAGGCCCGGAGGAGGCCAGGGGTGAGCATATGGGAGCCTCAGGGGCCCCAGGCCTTCCTTGCACCACAACCCCTCCAGAGTTTAGCCCTTGGCATCCTGGGGAATGGGCCTGGGTGGGGCCTGCTCCCAGAGTGGAGCATGTGGGTCCTTGATGAAGGGCCACCCTGGCCTGGGAGGGGCAGACAGAGAGGCCCAGACAGAGCCCATCTGCCGCAAGGGCATAGAGTCTGCTGGAAGACAGGCAGTGACCACACTGTGAC
This sequence comes from Homo sapiens, assembly GCF_000001405.40. Classification (NCBI taxonomy): domain Eukaryota; kingdom Metazoa; phylum Chordata; class Mammalia; order Primates; family Hominidae; genus Homo; species Homo sapiens. Next base: position 81,395 of record NT_187585.1, on the reverse strand, counting down.
TGCACTTCATGGCCAGGGCCAGCCCCAGGGCCCAGAACAGGAGCGACGTCCTTAAGCTAGAGCCTTCGATGGCATCTTGCAGCCCCTCTGAACCCTGACCTACTCCTCAGTACACGGACATAGCGTTCCTATTCCACAGCCACCTGGGCACTGCTTCCAGGGGAACTGCAGGGGTCCTGTCTGTGAGAGACCCCATGGATGCCCCAGGAACCAAGGTGAGAGCAGTGCCCAGCCCAGCCTGTGATTCTCCACGTTTATTAGGAAAAGCTTGCACAATTAATAATCAAAATCACACTGTGAAACTCATTAAAACACAGATCCAAATCACCACAAATTATTGATTTGTATGCGATGTAATGCCCAGAAGGAACCCCTGTCCTGTGTAGGAACCGTCACTTCTCTGCGGCTCAGCAGCTGGCAAGGGGAGGTGGCAGTCCCCTTCTGTGTGTTTGGCTGGCTGCTGGGACTGGGCGAGGGGTTGGAGGCGGGAGCCCCACGCACAGTGGGCTCAGGGGCGGAGAGGCAGGGCTCCTCTCCAGCTAGGAAGAGCTGGCAGTCTAACCCAGGGAAGTGGGCGTTCCCCCCACTCAACCACGTGCCCTGGGGAAATGGTGAGACTGTCCCTCCTGCTGGAAGCTGGGGGCTCAGGAGCAGTCTCCACAGTCTCCTGCCCATGGGTCAGCATTTCCTGAGAGTGAGGGAGCCAGGCCCAGGCCCTCCAAATGGGCTCCTGGGCTTTTATTGCCGGCGGCCCTGTAGTCAGCGTGGGCTGGTCCTGCCCTGCCTGTGCCTGGCAGGGTCCTGGATTTGAGGCTGGGGTCCAGGGGTTGCTCTGTCTCCCCTCAGGAAGCCCCCTGGGCCAAGCAGGGTGGGCCTGCACTCAGCCTGTGCTACTTCCTGGCCATACATGGGCCAGGCCCTGTGCCCTGCCACTGGGTCCCAACCACCATGCCAGTGATGTCAACATCACCATGTGGGGGCCAGGGCGCTTGGGGTAACAACTCACACCTGAGACGGGGCCCCCACACCGGCCAGGAAGAGGTGGCCTTGCTGAGCCCCCAAGTGCAGGCTGTGCCAGACAGCATGGTCCATGGGGTATTGGGGCCTCTGAGAGTGGGGCTCTTCTCTCTGGGCCTTTTAGGAGGTGGCCTCCTTCAGAGAGGGCCAGGTGGGGCCACTCTTGGCCTCCCCTCTCACTCAGGCCCATCCCCCAGCCCCATCCCCTCCTCAGGACCCCTCATCGGGGCCCCTCCTGGGCACGGTCAGCTGCTCGTAGGTGGGCAGGGTGTTGCTGGGCAGGAAGAGCTCAGGGTCGACGGAGCCGCCACTGCCGCAGGGCTGGGTGATGTGGGCCCCGCCCTCTCTGGGGGGGCCGCCGCTGCCGGGGGTGCTGCCACCGTGCAAGGAGAGCAGCTGGTGAAGCATGTCGGTGATGAGTGCCAGCCTCTGGTCCAGCTGCGTCACCTGCGGGGACAAAGGCAGACGAGAGAGTCAGTGGTGGGAAGCACCCAGGTGTGCAGACAGCCTCAGGGCCCAGGTTTGGGGCCAGAGAAGGGAAGGTGCCAACCGTCTCTGCAAGTGCATGCTGTATGCAGGCGGCACGCACGTGTGCACCCTATGTCTGCAAGGCCCTCGGTCGCGCCTGTGTGTGTGCAAGGAATGTGCATGTGTGCCGATTGGAATCCATCCCGTGCGTGCTGGGAGTCCCTATATGTGTCCACAGGCATTCAGGCTCAAGGCCAGGAGCTCTCCTCTCCTCCTTCTCTGCTCCCCAGGCTGGCCGGCCTTCTGTGCCACATCCCCGCATGGCAGGGTCTGCACCAGGGACCCGGACCTGAAATATTTGGGTTTGCGGCAGCCTTTGGCTTCTTGAGGCCAGGCTTGGGGACATTTGGGTTAAGGGTCAAGAAAGGCTGGGGGCTATGTCTACTGTGTCTGGAGGAGAACTGGACAGAGGGCAGAGTTCAGCAAGGCTGGCTCATGGGCAGGGCCTGGGGTGGTTGAGGAGGCAGAGGGCTTGGGCTTTGCCTGGGTGTGCAGGGGATGCCCCTGCTGGGCCACTTCCAGGAGGGGCTTGCAGGGCACAGGGCTTGTGCCTCTGTGATGCTTTCTGCAAGGGGGTGGGGGTGGGTTTTTTTGTCATCCCCCAGGAACCATTATGCCATGTCTTTAACCTAGCGGGGACACCACTATTTTCCCAGACACCATCTGCACCCACATTCTGTGGTCAGAGCAGTGCCCTAGAGCGTGCCCTCTGGCTAGCCATGTGGCCTCCACCTTCTCAGGGGCTGGTTCTGCAGTGAGCTATGTGCCAGGGTGGCTGCCCTGCAAAGCTGGCAGGGAGGTCAAGGCAGGACAGAACCCGAAATGCACCCAGCACAGAGAGTAGGTGATCAGAGGCCTCGCAGTGCTGCGGAGGCAGCAGAGAAGCCCCAAACGAGTGGACAGCCAGGTGATCTGAGAGCTCCTTGGAAGGACAGCACCGCTGGGGAATGAGGCTGGAGCCCGCCCCGGGTGGGAAGTGGCCATCCAGCCTTGATGGGGAGACTGGAAGGCCCTGGCCGGCAGGCCGGCACCCTGGCACCCTCAGAGCAGGTGCTGGGTGGAGCAGGGCCAACCCCAGGGGCAGACTAGGGCAGGTGAGGGAGTCCAGGTTGGGGACCCCTCTCCCTAGGAGGTTGGACCTGGGGGCCCTAGCATGAGTGAGGGTTCGGGGAGGGCGCACAGCTCTGTTGGTGGCCACAGGAGACAGGGCTGGTCCTTCAGCCTGCGGTGTTCTTGCAGGAGAGCCCCTCAGCGTGCTCTGTGGAGAATGAAGTAGACCCTCCCCCACCGTGGGTACCTGGAGGCCTGGAAAGACCTAGAAGTGGTGGGGGAGGGGCAAACAGATCAGCACGCGATAAGGGCTGAACAGCAGAGCTGCTTCAGGGAAACGTATGGCTCCAGAGAGAGGCACGAAGATGACTCAGCCACAGCAACGTCAACCACTGGCCCTAAGCACAGGCAGCAGGCGGGAGCTGGCCCGGTCCACCTGGCCGTGCACTCCAGGGGTCTGCACCCTAGGCTGCGCCGGGCGGGCCTGGTCCCTCATGCGCCCGGCCCCACTGCTGATCCAGCCGGATAGGCTTGGGGTGAGGTGTGGGCCAAGGCTGGGTTCTGTGCGGGTGAGAACAACCCCAGGGAAGATGCTGCTGGGTGAAGGTGGGCACAAGCCCCGGGATGGCCAGAGAGGGTCCAACCAGTTTGCTAGGGTCTGGGTGGACCCGGGCCAGCTTCAAGGGTTGGGTGCTGTGGTGGTCACCCACAGCACCTACCACGGAGGCTGAGCAGGCTAAGGAAGAGGCGGCCAACAGGGTGCTGTGAGAGGTTGAGATGAGAGGGGGGCGCCTGCCTGAGTGGGGCCGAGCGTCTGTCTAGAGGGCTAGGTGGGCAGCCTCCACCTGGGAGGGTGGGACTGTGCCCTGCCCAGAGCAGGAGCCCAGGGGACCCACTTCCAGCCCTGGGTGGTGGGGGCTGCAGTGTGGAGGCTCCCTGGCTCCCCTGTGGTTCTGCCTTGCAGGTATGGGGTGAGTCTGAGACCCAACTGTCCTGAACACAAGGGCAGGTGTACATCCGAGGTCTGACGGTCCAGGCCAGAGGGAGCCCCATGTTTTATTTTTCCCAGATAAACCTGATGTGAGGCCCACACTATGGAAGAAAGGGGTGCAGGACTTCTGTGGTTTGGCACGGGCAAGGGCCCACGGCCATCCACCGGGGTCTCTCACACCCAAGGACCCGCCAGCACTTCAGTGCTCTGCAAAGCCACTTGGGGACGAGCCACAGAGGCCCACACTCCATCCCACAGATGCAGACACTGAGGCCCAGGAAAAGAAGGTCAGAGTCACTGGCTGAAAGTGCCATGTCTCCCATCCTGTCCCCACAGCTCCCACCCCAAGGCTCCATCTCGAGACCACGGAGCTGCCATATGGGGGGACACAGTGTGTCAAGTTAGGAGCCGGCGAAAGCAAAAGGCAGGGTGGGGCGGGGCCTCTGGGAAGGGGAACGGCCTGAGGTCTCGTTCTTGTTCAGCCACACCCTGACCCCCGTGGCTCCTGCTGCCGGCAGGACCAGCCCTCTCAGTCCCACGACCTGCTCATGCCTGGTAGGGGTCATGGGAGGTCTCTCAGCCTTCAGGGTGCACATGAGGAAACTGACGCCCAGAGACCTACGAGAGCGTAACAGATCAAAGGTGCAGCCAGCGTGGGTCTTTGAGGGCAAAGCCTGGGCTTGTGTCCTAGGGCTCACCTCAGCTCCCTGGGCCCCGCATACTGGTAGTGTGGAACGAGGTTTGCCCCGCGTGGCTTACTGTCACTAACTGTGCAGGCCCCAGCTTGGGTATCAATTGGTTTGGCATTAATTAAAGCACCAAATACATCACAGATGAACATTTGTGGTTTCATAAATTTTCACATTATGGCACTCGAACATCTGTCCAAGTCCCACATGTGCTAATGGGTGTGGAGGCCTTCACAGGGGATTCTTGGGACAGAAAGAGACAGTGGGTGTCAGGGCCGCAGGCAGGCAGTGCAGGCTGAGGGTGTGGCTGGAATCAGCGCTCAGTCCTGAGCCACTTTGGTGACAGCTCCTCCCGGCAGGGAGTCCCGGCACCGTGTAGAGAGGCACTCAGCCACCTTTGGGGTCGGGAGGCAGCCACAGGGCCGAGCTTGCCTCCGACGGACACTGAAGGGCTCCCTGAAGCTGCCTGGGCCAGCGTCAGCCCATGCCTGGCTCTGGCTGGTCCCAGGCTCACCTCAACTGCTGCCTGTGCCAACTGGGGCTTTGAGGGACTGGCTAGGGTCTCTGGCCCCAGAGACATGCTCTCATCATCCCAGCTGCTGGTGACAGAGGCCCCGGGGGTGGGCCAGGATGTGGGCTGGATGCCCAGGGCGGTTCCACAGTTTGATGCATCATGGTGCCGCCCCCTTGTGAGAAGGGCCCAGGCCTGGGCTACAGGTGGCTCCTCGGCAGCCCCAGAGTCTTAGCTCTGACTCAAGCACTTGTCACAGCACGTGTCCCTGAAGAGTCCCACCCCACCACTCTGCGGGCAGGGCGCCTTCATCTCGCTGGCACGTTTGGTTTTTTTTGGCGATGGAGGAGCCTGAGAAGCACCTCCCATGGCCGAGGCCAGACCCCACCCATGCGGAGGTGCATCCGGGCAGGTGCCATCGGGGAGCTGCCGCCCTGGGGGAAGGCAGTGCATGCTCTATGCACTGGGGCCGGTTCCCCAAGAACTGCTGGGACAGATCAATTTTGGGGATCTCAGCCTCCACCATTATTTGCAATTTGATAGTGATTAAAAGGCAAGGCAGACAAAAGCTGCTTTGTGCCCGGCCTGCACTCACCAAATTAATAACCATAAGAGACCTATGCAGCCCTCGGAAGAGAAAAAAGCAATTAGAATAACAGCTAGTTAGAGAGCCCCGGGCGGCCGGCGATCAAACCCAAGGCAACGGGGATTCCTGTTTGATGTGGTTATGAATTTGTTTTCAAAAGAAAATCTTGAAAAAGAGTCTTTCAAGGGAAATTTTTGCAGAACCTGCCCGGCCTTGATCCCCGCCTAGGACCGCCAAAGGCCCTGGCCTCGTGGATGGCAGACTGGCCAGGGACAGGCGGGAGAGGCCGGGCACACCCGCTGCTCCCAGGGTGGGGGTCCTGTTCTCTGCCTGGGCTGCAGTTCCCCAGGAGGCAGAAAACTCACTGCCCCTTCTAGCATCCTTGTTGGGCAGTGTCTAAAGACCAGGCAGGGCCTCCCCAGGGCCCTCTGTAGGGTCGCAGGGCAAAGGTCACCTTGGCCTTCCTCCTGTCTGTCCTGAGGAACCAGCAGTTACTAAGCCACTCTCAGGGCGGTACCTAGAATGTTTCATACCAGGCTCTGAGCAATCGGATGTCAGACCCGGCTCCTGTGTGGAGCTGGGCACAAGTGGCAATAGGTCACAGCACGTGGTAAGGTCGCGGTTCGTGGCAGGGCATGGAGCGATTGTGTTTGACTTTGCTTTAGTGCTTCAGTTCTTGGACAAAAGTCGACCGTGTTTCTCGCTGCTGAGGTTTTACCGCCAGGCCTTGGGGCAGCTGCCCTGCTGGAGCTTGCTGTGCTGTGGCCAGTGGGAGATGGCCTCAGAACCCCCCACACTGCTGCAGGGCCTTGGGCACAAAGCACCTCCTCACGGGAGCGTGCAGGCAGGCGTGTGTGTGCCGCAGCGGGTCTGGGGTCAGATCCTGCCTCTGCCGCTTCCTGGCCGGGTGACCTTGGGCAAGTCACTTTGCTTCTCTGAACCTCAGTTTCCCTGCCTATAAAACAGGGCAGCTGTAGCACCTTCCCCAGGAGGATGCTGAGGGGATCAAGTGGACTGAGGCATGAAGACACCAGGGACAGAGCATGGTGCTCAGTGCACTGCGAGCCACCCGATGGCCATGATCATTAGGGATTCCTAGAGTGCACGTACAGTTGCACATGTATGCCTGTGGCCTGAGGCCAAAGGAGCACTGCTGTGCACACGGGAGGCATGCTAGGTGAGCCCACATATGTGTACCTCGTACGAACCTGTGGCTGTATGAGTGTGGGAGACTGTGCGTGCAAGAAGGCAGGAACCACCCTGCACCCTTGTACACACTTGTACAATTCCCTTCACTTTCCATTAGGTTGTTCTCTGGGCTGCCCAAGGGTTGGAGTGCACCTGCATGCACCCCCAGGCCCCTGGGCCTTTGTGTGTGCCACAGAGGTGAGCACCCCCTGCAACCCATCACAGGAGTTGGGGGTGCTGCTGGGACAAAGCTGCGTGGAGAGCAAGCAGCAACTCCCATGGCTTGGGTGCTTGGGCAGGTACCAGGCGTCATCTCCTAATGGGGAGACAGATGGCACTGAGTCTGGGACCCATGGTCACACACATACCAGCTGCTCCCCCTGTCCCCCAGAGCCCTTCACCCGGGCAGTGTCCAGGCTGTGTGTGAGTCTTGGCCCAGAGAGTCGAGCGTCGTGGCAGCCCCTGTGCTCAGGCTCGGGACTGGCGCCTGTGGTGGGGCTGAATTGGCACGCACTGAGGGTGAGTGTGTCCGCTCAGAGGCTGCAGACCAAATCCTCAACCTTGTCTCTGTCCCTGGTGTCTGTTGTCTGCCGAGCAGCCAGAGGAAGCTCTGCTGCGGCTGGGGACCCACACCGCTCATGGTCGGTTATGTCCTCAGCGGGTCCTCGGCACAGCGCAACCATGCGGCAGAGGCCTGGTCAGCTCCACCCCAACACCCTTCCTGGGGCTGCCGCTGCCTGGCTGGCCCTCACTGACCACCCCCCAGGAGCGGGGTTGCCTCCCTCTGAGAGAGGCCCAAGATGGTGAAAGAAAGACCCTTCCCCCTGCTGCTGACATCCACTTTTGCCAGCCTCTGCCCACTGACGGATGCTTGGCCCCCCAAGGGCCTCAGGGGCGCCATGTCCCTGGCTGACGACTGTGGGGGAATATCTCAAGATCGTCACCACACGACCCTCGTTCCCTTCCTGGGACCTCGGCTAGCTAGGATGTCCCCGTCAGCTACTTGCTCTCTCCAGGGGCTCCAAGGCCTGCAGGCCAACAGCCCCACAGCTCAGCGTGTCCCAGCGGGAGCTCAGATTCCTCCCAAGCCGGCCCGAATCCTGTATCCACAGGGCACGACCAACTACCCAGGGTCCCTGGTGTGCACCTGGTGTCTGTGGCTCTCTGGTCTGGAGCATGTGCTCTGAGCCTGCCCCCCATGCCCCTTGCCCAGGCTGGCAGCATCTTCTGCCTGGACTGTCACAACCACCTCACTGCCTGGCTATGCCCCCAACCTGTTCCCCGCTTGTTCCAGGCAACAGCCAGGCTGAGCCTTCCCTCCCAGCCTGGGCCAAATCCTTCTGCAGAATTCCCACTGGACTGGGAGTAAAATCCAGTCTCCTTTTGCAGTGCCCCCAGAGGCTCCGCTGGCCCCTCTCCGGCACTGAGCATGCCCGTGTTGATCTGAGCGCCCATCTCAGTTGGGCCCTGGGGCCTTTGCACCCGCTGTCCTCTGCTGCTTTGTAACCTTAGCTCAAAATCCTGGGCGGCCTCCTCGTCTCATCTCTCCCCATGTTCCTGTAAGCCTTCACCACTCCCTGAAATGTCCCGGTTTATTGATCTCCTTGCTTGGTGTTTTGCCACCAGCTGGAGGCCCAGCTCTAGGCCAGGCAGTCACCGTCTTAACCCTAGACAGTCTCCCAGAGCCTGGAGCCTGGAGCCTAGAAGGTGCCCAGTAAATACATGGAGGGTAGAGTTGGCGCTGCACAAATGTTTGTTGAATTAGTAAGTGAGGCCCCGGCCAATTTCCCGGGGCCCCAAGGCTGGAGTGAGGGGGTAGAAGCCCCCCAAGCCCACTCCTTCCCAGGGTGGGTGCTGAGCAGAGAAGCTGAGGCTGGGACTGGGCCTTTTCACGTTCATTGATTTGTAAGGACTCTATGTTAAGAAAGATGTCAAGTACACATCACACATGTTTTTCCCTAGTGTGCTATTTGTCTCGTGTATGGGTTTATGGCATTTATTATTTTTTTGTTTTGCCACACAGAGGTCTTACTTATGTTTTCACTTTTTCACGTGGTCAAAGCCATCCATCTTTTCCTTTATGCCTTCTCATCCTGTGCGTGCTTGGAAGGGCCTCCTCCATTCCAACGCCAAAATCTTTTTTCCTAATACTTTTTTGATTTGTGTTTTACCCCCTAAATCTTTGAATCGCCTGGGATTGATTTCTGACCTACAGACTTACTTTTGCAGGTTATCCTGCTGATACCCCACCACTTATGGAATGATGGACCTTTTCCCCACTGGATTAGAATGTCCTTTTTGTGTATCATCGACCCTGAACAACCCAAGTTTGAGCCGTGTGGGTGCACTTCTACGTGGATTTTCTTCCTCCTCTGTCACCCGAGACAGTAAGAGCCACCCCTCCTCCTCCCCAGCTGACTCAACGTGAAGATGACGAGGATGAAGACCTTTACAATGATCTGCTTATGCTGAATGAATATCTTTTCTCTTCCTTACTTTACTTTATTGTAATACATGAAGCATACAAAATGTGTTAATTGATTATGTTATTGGTAGGGCCTCCAGTCAACAGGAGGCTATTAGTGAAGTTTCTGGGGAGTCAAAAGTTATACATGGGTTTTTGACTGGGCAGTTCGGGGGTCGGTGCCCCAACCCTGCATTGTTCAAGGGTCGACGGCACAAAGTTCCTGCACGTCTTCCTGTACTTTGGCGTCTACGCAGAACTGCCCTAGAGACCGCTCTTGTACATGCTTTGATACTGGGAGCCAGGGCCCTGCTGTCTGGAGGTGAAAGACGACAGGCTCGTTCTGGCATCCAGTCGGGGAGTGGCGACGGGAGCTGGAACCCACACCTCTCCCAGGTGACCTCATAACCTCCCCTCTTGTCTGTCTCCCTGGTCGGAGAGGTCGCGCTCGTCTGCTAAGAACCCGGAGAAGGCCTCTTCTTTGTACTCTGAGCAAACAACAAAGTCCGCACCACGGCTGTGGGGGCTGAGGGATCCCATCCCCTGCTGCCTTCCCTCCCCCAGCTGGCTCCAGCCACCACAGCCTCCCTTCCTCTTCCTCTCGGCCCGCACGCCTTCCTGGATTCTCCCTCGGCTCAGCCCTCACCTCGTCATAGCCCCCAGGGGGTCTATGTGTGCCGTGTCTGCTGACATGAGCCGGTGCCACATGGCCCCGTGCTCCTGGACACGCAGCCACCTCCCTCCCTGCATGTGGGTTGGGGCTGACGTTTGTGCCAGAGCCAGAGCTGTCACATCCACAGCCTCACAGACCTGCAGAGGATGCTCCGTGCGGACATTCATGTCAACTTCAGGGTGGGGACAGAGGTCATGGAGGGAGTCAGTGGCAGAGCCAGGGGGGCCCACGTGGCACAACACTCCCTGGGTGGCACTGGAGCCCCTTTGCCCTCTTCCCTTGGAAGGGGCCTGGGCAGGAGGCCCAGGTGCACCCAGAGGCCAGGGAGCTGCCTCACTGCCAGGCAGGTGGGAAGGGGTGGGGAA